>NC_000015.10:93259459-93410975 GCF_000001405.40 Homo sapiens
TGTTAGTCACTTAGTGGTCTTGGTTATCGGATCAACTAATGTGGTATTGTGCTTGTGGTATAATTCTTAAAAGTGCAAGAGTAGTGATAGTGACATATTGTTATAATTGTTCTATTTTTTATTAGTTATTGTTAATTTCTTACTGTGCCTAATTTATGAATTAAACTTTTTTTTTTTTTCCCCAGACGGAGTCTTGCTCTGTCACCCAGACTGGAGTGCAATGGCACGATCTTGGCTCACTGTAAGCTCTGCCTCCCGGGTTCACACCATTCTCCTGCCTCAGCCTCCCAAGTAGCAGGGACTACAGGCAACCGCCACCACGCCTGGCTAATTGTTTGTATTTTTAGTAGAGACGGGGTTTCACTGTGTTAGCCAGGATGGTCTTGATCTCCTGACCTCGTGATCCGCCCGTTTTGGCCTCCCAAAGTGCTAGGATTACAGGTGTTAGCCACTGTGCCTGGCCAGGAATTAAACTTAAACAAACAAAAACCAACAACAATGGAGTCTTGCTCTGTTGCCCAGGCTGGAGTGTAGCGATGCAATCTCAGCTCACTGCAATCTCTGCCTCCTGGGTTCAAGCGATTCTCCTGCCTCAGCCTCCCAAGTAGCTAGGATTACAGGCGCGCGCCACCATGCCCAGCTAATGTTTATATTTTTAGTAGAGATGGGGTTTCACCATGTTGACCAGGCTGGTCTTGAACTCCTGACCTCAGATGATCCACCCACCTCGGCCTCCCAAAGTTCCGGGATTAGAGGCGAGAGCCACTGTGCCCAGCCTTGAAATTAAACTATCATAGGTGTCTAGGTATAGGAAAAAAAAATGTATATATAGGGTTCAGTTCTGTCCTCAGTTTCAGGCATCCATTGGGGGTCTTGGAACACAACTCCCCCTTGAATAAGGGGTCTATAGTATTTCAGGCAGAGTGAAGGGGAAGGGCAAGGGGTAATGGCTCTTTCTTCCAGCTGAATCAGTTCCCTTGAAAAAGACTTCGCAGAAACCTCACCCTGGGACTTTTGTCTAGATTCAAGAGAGGCAGCAAAATGCAGTCTTTTATCTGAGCACGTTGCAGCCCTGAATAGAGCCCGAAGTCTGTTAATTAAGGAAGAAGCAGGGAGTGGATATTGGGTAGACCGTTTTGGTGTGTTTGGAGGAACGTCAAGTTCTTAGTCTTGCCAGAGCCTGAGGTGCCAGAGGGCACGCGGTAGGGGGAACGCGGTGCAGCACCCAGCCACTCAGGAAAGGGGAGGCACGGCCAAGACGGGGGCAGGATGGAAAGTCCATGGATGCCGCAGGGTTTAGACCCAGCCTTAAGTGTGAATCCATCCCTGGAGTTGGAGTGTCAGGGTATCTCTTTTCTCTTTTGGCTCCTTTCCTTCTTCCTTCGGTTTTTTTTTTCCTCCCTTCTTCTCCCCTTTATTCTTCTCCTTCCTTCCCATTCCACTTCTCTCCTTGCAGGAGCTGCAGGATTTGGTTTCCAGTCTGAGATGAATTGGAAGGTGGGGAGGAGCCCTGTCCTTAGATAAGGAGGGCCTCGAGGGCATGCTAGGGAGTGCTGGGGGAAGTTTCCATCAGTAGGAAAAGCCTGGGAGCCAGGCTAGAGATAGCCACTCAGAAGAGGTAGGGAAGAAAGAGACAACATTGGTTCTGGGCAGTAAAGTAACACGATAAATGCAGACTTAAGAAAAATGAGTCTATTGGAGGCCGGGCGCAGTGGCTCAAGCCTGTAATCCCAGAACTTTGGAAGGCCAAGGCGGGCGGATCACAAGGTCAAGAGATCGAGACCATCCCGGCTAACATGGTGAAACCCCGTCTCTACTAAAAATACAAAAAATTAGCCAGGCATGGTGACGGGCACCTGTTGTCCCAGCTACTCGGGAGGCTGAGGCAGGAGAATTCCTTGAATTCGGGAGGCGGAGGTTGCAGTGAGCGGAGATCGCGCCACTGCACTCCAGCCTGGTGACAGAGTGAGACTCTTTCTCAAAAAAAAAAAAAAAAAACAATGAGACTATTGGGAATGATGCCTTCTCTAAACTGCATTTACATTTTACACTCTTGGCTCAGGAGGAAGAAACCTTCATATGAAATCTGCTATTGCATCTTTAGTGAATGATGCCGCTGAGGACTTTGCTCCTAGTGTCTTTCATTGTCCTCCACATGAAATCCTGTAGGAGTCCTTTCTTAATGTAGGAACTTGGGAAGAGCTGCTTTCCTTCAAGAGTTTGTAGTTTTCTTCTTCTTCATTAATGAAATTTACACAATCCATCTGACTTCCTTTGTGCCATGGCTCCCAGGAAACACTGGGGCAAATGGTTGGACTACTGTGGTTCTCTTTTCTTTGGTTCTCATTTTCTATTTCTATTGGTGTTTTAATTGCCTCATTGGATGTATTTTTGTGTGTGAAATATGACAGGAAACACAGGTATGTTAACTAGGCTGGAAGAGATTAATGTGTGGCACAGTTGCGGGGTGCAGGGGAGTCCTGGCAGGGTGGAGAGTTAGCAATTGTTGTGGCCCAGGTGGGAGGCGATGTGGTCATGCTGGGAGGGAAGTTTAGATGTGTCCAAGAGAAGTTGCAGAGAGCCCGCAGCATGATATCTGACCATGTCAGTTTCACAAGGGGGACAGCTGCAGGTGGCTGACACATCCAGACACGTGTACACCAACTGGGGAGGAAATTGGCTAGATGGTTTTCATTTGGGTTTTATTCTATTCCTTGGTGTTGAACACCTTGGGCTTTCCTGAAAGACATACTTTGGCAATATTTCCTGTCTCAACTCAGGACTAGGGTTGGGGATCAAAGGCACCCATGCTACTCTGTTTTCTAAAGTCTTTTGATTTCTGCCACTGGTTTTATCTACCTACGACTACATTCTTCAAAAACAGACCTACTTGCATTGTAAACTAATCTAAAAATTGCTGTGATGGGCAGATATTGGTCATGGTGTCACCCTTCAGGTGACATATTGACCTATTAAGAGGGCTTGGTGGGGGCAATGTTTTGGTTGTAAAAAGTGAGATTTTGATACCATTCAAGTGCTCTGTCATGGTGATGGATATATGTAAAAGAAGGGTTTTGGTTGTATGTAAGTTTCATGGCCCCAGGACTCTCTCGCCTTGTGCCCACACTGTGACTGATTAACTCCCCATGGCCAACCCCAGCCCATCTCTCCTGCCTGACTCCATCCTCCACCGATCTGCTCATTAACGAACCAAACAATCAATCAGCCATGCAATCGCTTCAGTGCACCTCTGTTTCAACTTTTCGATTTCAAGCTCAATTGTCAGTGAGAAAAAAATAAAAAGAAAATATAATTTTATGCCTGTATGACTCAGATATTTAGTTGCTTCTAGTTCTGGGCTGTTTCCATTCTTATTCTGCCCATTCATTTATTCTTTCATTCCTCCTTATAATCATTCATTTATATACGTTTATTCAACACAACTTGATTGAGCATCTCCTAGGTGCCACACTCGGGTGCTGATGTCAGAGAAAATAACTCATTTCTGTTTTCATGAGGCTCCCATTCTAGCCTAGAGTTTCTCAACAGACAGAGCTGTTAGCATTTTTGTGCAAAAATTATTTGTGGCCTGGGATGGTCCATACATTACAGGGTATTTAGTACCACTGGTTCCACCCTCTAAATGCCAACAGCATTCCCTCTTTCCATTGCAACAACAACAAAAAATGCCCCCACGCATTTCTAAACTCAGTGGCAAGCCTGTTGTTTAGATAAAGTGTGGTGGATTCTGTGCATCGGTTCTTCCCATTTTCTTCCCCCCAGTTACTAAGGCTGGAAACCTACAAACTATGTTTCCCTTTCATCCAGGGTGTATTAGTTTGCTTGGATGCCATAACATGATACCACAGACTGGATGGCTTAAACAACAGATAGTTATTGTCTCACAGTTCTGGAGGCTGGAAGTCGAAGATCCAAGTGTTGGCAGGGTTGATTTCTCCTGAGGGCTCTCTCCTTGGCTCGCAGATGGCCTCCTCCTCCTCCTCCTCCCTGTGTCTTTACGTGGTTTTTCCTCTTTGTATATGTGCATTCCCAGCATCTTTTCCTCTTCTTATAAGGACACCAGTCATATTGGCTCCCTCCGCCCCTTATGAGCTCATTTAACCCAAATTACTCCCTTAAATGTCCTGTCTCCAAATACAGTCTTATTAGGGGTTAGGACTATCATAGAGATCTGAATTTAGGAAAAACACAATTCAGTCCATAACAAATGGTGAGGCATGTGACTTAGCTTGGCCTAGCACGTGCCTCTGCTGGAGATCCAGATGCAGAAGTGAGCAAGGTGAGGTGCTGATTTTATGCAGGTGTTCTGACAAGCATGGTGGCAGGGGTAACTGGTTTCTAGGGCTGCTGTGGGTTTTCAGCATCCAGCCCGGTATCATAGGTTCCAGTGGTGGGTGGCAGAAGCCATCAGTGTTCCCTGTAGCAGGTCTGTGGTGTGATTGGGCATTTCTCCTGGCTCTGTTATTCCTGCTTGCATCACATCTGATCTCATTCTCTGTTTCTCCTGACGATTGCATGCACTATTCACTACCGTTTAATAAAACCATCTTTTTGCTTAAATTAGCTAGCGTGGATTCTGTTGTCTGCAACCAAGAACTCTGATACAGAAAGAAGATCCCCAAATATTTCATTGCATTTTAATGTGGTAAATTCTGGGTAGAGTTGTGCATAGGATTTCGTGGAACCTCAGAAAAGAATAACCCATAGTCATTTGCCTTTGTCTCCTAACTCTTGGCACTGCCTACCACCTCTAGAGTGTTGCTGCTTGTTCTGTTCAAAAGCTTCTTTGCTAGATGGGTCTAGTAATCCATTTATCTAACAATGACTCTGTAATTTAGTAACTAGTAACTAATCAGCTAATCAACTAGTAACTCCCTTTATTTGTACCTGAGAGGCTGATCCCATTATTGCGGGTGGAGTTTTAGGACAATGGGTATCCAGTCTTAGCTCTGTGTCCCTCTAGCTGTCTTATCTCCAGCCAGTCACTTCTGCTCCATCGGCCACATCTTCTTCTGGTAAAATAAGAATCAAGCAGTCCCAGAGGCCCCTCTCAGCATTGCCATGCCACACAGCATAGTGGTTCTTCAGTGGAAACCAAAACATGTTTATTTGCTTGTGTGAACTCCTGCAGAATGTGCCAAATGGCAGGGATGGATGTGAAGTCGCTGTTTTAGAAACAGGTGTCTGGAGACTGCTCTATCTTCATGGCAAGGGAGGATGGTGGGAGGAGAAGCTACAACCAAAAAGCCTTTTCCAAAATGTGTTTATCAGTGTGCCAACCCCACAGGATTCTTCTGCAGAGGCGATTCCATGGTGTACCCGCTTTGGGAAATGCTGCATACTCTATTGCTTTCTGGACATTCACAGTGAACTTAGCAGGTTGAAGGCTTAGAGGAGGCTTCCAGGAAGGAAACCTGTTTATTAAACCTCTTCTCAAATGTATTTGACCACTCGACCCTTTGTTTTCCACATAACATCTACTAACATTCTTGGTAACACCACTTTTGGGGAAATACTGAACTAAATTAGTCTCAAAGTCTTCCAAAGTAAGCACAGACCTTGAAAGGTCCCATTTGGGATGGTGAGTCCTGCCTACAGCTTCCCTGACTTCTGACTAACCCAGGGAGCTCTCAGAGTTCTCAGCAGCAGGAGGCAAGACCAAAAATCCCTATGAGTGGAAGCCACATGGAATTGTTGCTGATATCAGTGGTGAGTCACAGGGGTCCACACTGGGGACATGAGTATTAGACATGAGTCATGGGCATATGGAAGCCTTGTTCAGCTCTACCTTCCTTTGGTCCCTAATCCTTTGTAATGCCCTGGTTTCATGATGTAACTTCAAGGGAATTAAGCTTGGAAAGCAAAAATGATGTAATTAATTTAATGCGGCTTCAATTAAAGCCTTCCGCTAGCATGACATCTGACCATGTCAGTTTCACAGCGGGGACGGCAGCAGGTGGCTAGGCGCGTCCAGACATGTGGGTATGCCAAGTCGGGAGGAAATGGGCTAGATGGCTTTCACTTGGGTTTTATTCCAGTCCTTGGTGTTGAACACTCAGGGCTTCCCTGAATGACACACTTTGTCAACATTTCCTGGCTCAGCTATTAACTGAGGACCAGGATGGAGACATTAGGCAAACAGACTAGGCCGTTTTCTTGTCTTCTGAATCCCACCAGTGGTTCTTTGGTTCTACCTAGAGCTACTGTCTTCAAAAAGAAACCTCCTTTTATTCATTAAAAACTGATCCAAAAAATGGTTTTCATGGGCAGTTATGGGTGGGTCATTGTGTCATATTTTGTTATGAGTGCCAGATAAACTTATCAAGAGGGCTTGGTGAAGGCAATGGTTTGACCAAAAGGAGTGACAAAAATAGTGGGGATTTGCCCTCTGTTATTGGGAGGTGACACCAGTGTGGCTTTAAACTTGTTTGTAAAAATAAGCTCTTTCTAGGCCAGGCACGGTGGCTCATGCCTGTAATCCCAGCACTTCGGAAGGCTAAGGTGGGAGGATTGGTTGAGCCCAGGAGTTTGAGACCAGCCTGGGCAACACAGGGAGACCCCGTCTCTACATAAAATAAAAAAGTTAGCTGGGTATAGTGGTGCGTGCCTGTAGTCCCAGCTAGTTGAGAGGCTGAGGTGGGAGGATCCCTTGAGCCCAGGACTTCAAAGATGCAGTGAGCTATGATTATGCCACTGTACTATAGCCTGGGCAACAGAGTGAAACCCTATCTCTAAAATACATAAATAAGCTATCTCTGGGACTTCTGGAGTCTTGTCTCTTTTCTTCTCCAATCTACAGTTAAAGAAACTTCTGGAATAGGTGAGCATCTCCTTATTCCATGACATCCCCGAGACGCTGCTGACACTTTCTCTCTGCCCCACTGCATCCCCTTCCTCACCTGCTTTGCCATCCACTCCTGGGCCCCAGACTTCCTGCTGCCGGCGCTACGGCTGCTCCCGGCCCTGTTTCCAGGAGGAAAGCTTGACGGCTTCGGCCAGGCCAGGGAGCACAGGGCCTGCGCCAGCTCTGCTGAGGCTCACGTTAAGGGGAGGTTGCCCCTGCTCCCGGCTTGTCCCTGTTGCCTGTGGCTAACACAGCCTAACTTTCTGCTCCCGGCTTGTCCCTGTTGCCTGTGGCTAACACAGCCTAACTTTCAACCGCAAGTCGCAGCGCAGGGCCCTGGGGAGCAGCCTGGTCTTCTCTCCTGCTGGCTGAGAGGGTTTTCAGGTCATGCCAAGGGGTTAGTGGGGCATTCTTTCCTAGATGTTTCTGCTTCTCATTCCCACCCTTCAGCATTCATCACTGGAGCCTTTTGTTTTGTTTTGTTTTGACACAGTCTCGCTCCGTTGCCGAGGCTGGAGTGCAATGGCTCAATATCAGTCATTGCAACCTCCACCTCCTGGGTTCAAGCGATTCTCCTGCCTCAGCCTCCCAAGTAGCTGGGACTACAGGAATG
This sequence comes from Homo sapiens, assembly GCF_000001405.40. Classification (NCBI taxonomy): domain Eukaryota; kingdom Metazoa; phylum Chordata; class Mammalia; order Primates; family Hominidae; genus Homo; species Homo sapiens. Next base: position 93,266,938 of record NC_000015.10, read on the forward strand.
CATCACCACATCCGGCTAATTTTTTTTTGGTATTTTTAGTAGAAATGGGGTTTCACCTTGTTGGCCAGGCTGGCCTCGAAATCCTGACCTCAGATGATGCACCCGCCTCGGCCTCCCAAAGTGCTAGGATTACAGGCTTGAGCCACCGCGCCCGGCCCACAGGAAGCTTTTTGCTCCTTCTTTCATAACTCACAGGAGCTGTTTTTGGGCTCACTAGATAGAGATGATATTAGCTGTGGATCATTGCTAACATGTATTGGGCCGGGTGGCCTGGGCTGGGAAGTTTCTGACAGGCATGGCCTCGTTTTCTCCTCACTTCAGCTTTCTGAGGGAGAAGCCATTATCATCTCCAGTTTAAAGACGAGATAATTGAGACTTCAAGAGTATCTTAGGCCAAGCTCAGTGGCTCACGCCTGTAATCCCAGCTACTTGGGAGGCTGAGATAGGAGAATTGCTTGAACCTGGGAGTGGAGGTTGCAGTGAGCTGAGATTGTGCCACTGCGTTCCAGCTTGGGTGACAGAGTGAGACTCCATTTCAAAAAAAAAAAAAAAAAAAAGAGTGTCTTAGTTCTCGCTGCTACAACAAGATCCTATAGACTGGTAGCTTATAAGCAACGGGAATCTATTTCTCACAGTTGTGGAGGCTGGGAAGTCCGAGAACAAGCATATTTAGTGTCTGGTGAAGGTCACTTTCTGGTTCATAGATGGTGCCTTCTCACTGTGTCCTCACATGGTAGAGGGAACAAGGCAGCTCTCTCTTGTTTCTTTTCTTGGTAGGTCATTAGCCCCATTCATGAGGGATCCACCCTGTGATATTATCACCCCCCAAAGGCCCTATCTCCTAACACCATCACTTTGGGGGTTAAGGTTTCAACATATAAATTTTGAAGGAGACAAAAACACTCGGTTCATAGCAAAGAGGATAAATACTGTGGCCAAGGTTTCTCAGTGAATAAGCAATGGAACAGAGTCTCATTCAATGAGCCATTTATGGAACACCTGCTCTGGCCCGGGTATGGTACAAGCTTCAGGGACAGAGGCTGGAATGTGACCAGACATAGGACTTCAGTGGAGCAATAGAAGTGAACCAAGGACTATGTGAGGCAAGATGGGCATTGCGGTGGGCAGCCCACCAACGTGGCTCAGGGAGTGGGTGGGGTGGGTTGTCCTTGACAGACTCTAGTTTAAGGAAGGCTCTTTGAGGAGTGACAATTGGCGTAGCTCTGGAGGATGAGCAGGAGTGAGGAAGGCTAAAGAGGAAAGAGGGCCCCACTTTGCAAAGAAAAAAAAAAAGTTAGAGAGCCACACAGCACATTTGGGAAAACACCATGCCTGACTCAGGGTAAATGCTGAATCATCTTTGGGCACTAACAGAACAGATGCCCAGCCAAGCTTCTCAACCCATTTCCAGGCTCTGCGGAGGGCGGGATCTTTGTAGGGTGTAAAGTGGGGAAGGGCTGCACAGATTTGGGGTTTGGGAAAGTGGCTGTGGCTGGATGTGGAGGATGGCTAGGAGGGACAGGGGAGGTAGCACAACTCAGTTGAGGTCATTCTTTCCATGATTTTCATTATTATTATTATTATTATTATTATTATTTGTTTTTGAGATGGAGTCTTGCTTTGTCACCCAGGCTGGAGTGCAGTGGCGTGATCCTTGGCTCAACACAACCTCTGTCTGCCGGGTTCAAGCGATTTTCCTGCCTCAGCCTCTCAAATAGCTGGGATTACAGGTGTGTGCCACCACACCCGGCTAATTTTTGTAATTTTAGTAGAGATGGGGTTTCACCATGTTGGCCAGGCTGGTCTTGAACTCCTGACCTCAGATAATCCACCCGCGTCAGCCTCCCAGAGTGCTGGGATTACAGGCGTGAGCCACTGTGCCCGGCCAAGACCATGCTTTTCAGAAGCACTCTTCATTAGAATTTTTAAGTTGGAAGGATATTTAGAAATTCTTTTCTTTAAGCCTCTTTGATCAAGATGAGGAACTTGATACCAAGGTGGCTAGAGGAGGCACCACTAACCTCAGATAGTTAGTGGTGGCCCCGGCCAGGACCCAGGCCTACTGACTCCCAGCATATATGTTTTTGCCACACTGCACCAGTGTCTAGAGACATCATTGTTGTCTTAGTCTGTTTATGTTGCTATCAAGGAATACCCAAGGCTGGGTAATTAATAAAGAAAGATGTTTCTTTGACTCACAATTCTACTGGCTGGAAGGTTCAAGACTGGGCATCTGGTGAGGGCCTCAGGCTGCTTCCATGTGTGGTGAAAGGCAAAGGGGAGCCAACGAGTGCAGACAGCACACGGCGAGAGGGAGCAGGAGAGACGGGAGGGAGTGCCAGGCTCTTTTTACAACCAGCTCTTACCAGGAACTAATGAGAGTGAGCACTCATTCAGCCCCGAGTAAGGGCACTCATCTATTCATGAGGACTCTGCTTCCATGACCCAAACCCCTCCCATTAGACCCTTCTTCAACACTGGGGACCAAATTTCAACATGAGATTCAGAGGGGAGAAACATCCAAAAATAGCAGTCTTGGTGGAGTAGGGGTGGTGGTGGAGGGTAGATGACTATGGGCATCTTGTGGATAAAGGCCAGGGAAGCTGCCAAACACCCTGCGGCTCCAACCACCAGGAATTATCCAGCCCCAAATGTCAGTGGGACCAGGACTGTGAATCCCTGCCCAGACAGTGGAATTTTCAAAAAGCCCTTAGTTGTTGGGAACCAACTTCAGAACGGGGGGCTGTGGAGAGTAAACCAAAGTCAGTGGGACATTTTACTTGGCCTAGGCCTCTCAGAGAGAGACAAGAAGCCTCATGAAGGTTTACTAGTAAAGTTACTAGTAAAGGTTGCTATTCAAAAAAATCATTTTTCTTAAAGGTAAGTTTGTTCACTGTAGAAATAACCAAGTAAGAGGAAAGGGAGAAATAAAGTCACCTGTGGACCCACCGCAAGAGATGCTCATGGTGCACATTTCGATGTGACTTTCTGTGTTTTAGACACACGTGCACACAACACAGGCACACATAGATATTTTATGCACCTAAGTAACAACCATTTTTTCAATGGCATCAAGTCCGGGAACTGGAGGGCCCCTTGGAGCTGGGTGGGTGGATGTGGGTGAGCGCATTTGGACAAGCTGAAGCAGAGCCCTGTTGACGTATGTGAGCAGCAGGTGGAACATTCGGGGATGGGGTCTGGGGTCTGGCAGGGAGATGAGGAGGAGGAGGGTAGGAGGCACGGAGACTGGCTCTGTGGGGGTCAAGGGAGGGCTGAGGGGAGGACCGCAGGTAGAGTCATCCCAGTAGAGGGACTAAGGAGAGCGCATTATGTCTGAGGAACTTTACAGCAAAGTATGCAATGGAAAGCCTTCTCTATTTCCTCTACAAGAATGTCCAGTGTGCTTGGAATTCTTGTAGAAAACGTGTGTGTGGGAGGTGGATTTGGAGGGGTCGGGGAGGTCTGTGCTCCAGCGGGTTGGGGCAGAGTCCACCCTGCAATCAGGGACTGGATTATAGAGTGATGGATATATCTGCATGCATGAATATGTGTGTGTATTTATTACTAATATGAGATTATATCCAGTCTGTTTTGTAGAGTGTTTTTCGCTTGACGATATATTGTGGATATCTTTCTATGACGTTAAATATGCCACTACATTGTTTTAAATAGTTACACAGTTGTCTATCAAAGGGATGTACTATCATTTAATGAATTCCTTAAATTTGAACATTTTTCATTTCGAAGTATTTATTCATAGGGCCAGTCTTTCTAGGTGTATCGTTTACAGAGGGGGTTCTCAGCCTTGGCACCATTGACATTTTGGAGCAGAGAGTTCTTTGCTGTGGAGGAGGGGCTGACCTGGGCCCTGTAGGGTGGTCGGCAGCTCACATCCTCATGGCCAACTGGGGACAGAGCTGCGATTCATACTCAGGCAAGGCCAATGTGCTCTCCAGGGCACTTTGGCTCTCGGGGTGTGGCTGTAGGGCAGGTGCCACTAATGAAGTCCCCTGGGAACCCTCGCAGTGCCTGTGAGTTGCTTGGTCTTTCCACCTGAGCTGGGGGGAGGCCTGACCAGTGCCCACCTGTGCTGGGAGTACTTGAGCTGGGGCAGCAGCAGAGGCTGCTGGTAAATCCTTGCTTGTTCTGCAGGCGGATGCAAGTGCCATTTGTTGATTTCTCAGCAAAATCCTCATCAGGTCAATATGTGCAGGCGGAACTCTGAAAAAATCACTGGCTGGCCTTGGGCTGCAATTCAGTCTGTTACTTTCTGTGAAACAGGTCTTTTAGAATCACAATGGGTTGGGGCTCCCTGGAAGCCCCTGTGAAATGCCCACTGAGCTGGGGAAGGCCTGGGCTGACCTATGAGCTGTTTTATTGTCTTCCTTCCTACTGCACGTTGTGGCTCAGTAAGTATATACGTGGAAAGATCTGCCTGAACTTGGCTGACCCCAGGGCCTCGGCAGAAGAGAGGATTGCCCCTTGGCCCCAAGGCCTTAGCCCTGAGGTCACAGGACGGGGGCTACGAGACAGAGGTGGCCCTAGTGATTTCTAGTTTTGGGTTTGTAGCCGTGAACATTTTCCACACTCTGCAGCTTCTTTCAGTTTCTTTCTGACAGCCTGGGAAAGGAACTGTCAGACTTAGAGATCTGCTATGAAAGGGCTAGAGAGAAAATTCTAAGGAACCAGAAGTGGTTTTTCAATTTTGAAATAAAAATGTCAACTAATAAGAGTGAGAACTCATATATCCCCAAGGAAGGGCAGTAATGTAGGCAAAAAAAAAAAAAAAAGGAAGAAATGCTGTCAATATCTCACCCTCACCCTTTAGTGAGAGAGGGGTGATGTGTTCTGGAGTGTCCGTTAGGTTGTTTTTAAAAGAAAACCCCTGAGAGGCAATCTCTGTGTGAGTGGAGCTTCCCGAACAGCTACAAGCTTCTTGAAATCTCATCACATCACAGGGGTTTGAATTTAGGAGTTTATCCAACTGGGCCCATGGAGAAGTTTGTGGAGGATCGTGGAGAAAGTAGCAGGTAGGGAAGAGAGTCTAAGAGTCTTCAGGTGACGGGCACCAACCTGGCCCTTGCGCTGCTGCTGTTTGATTAAATGTTACTCCGGCAGCAGGCAGCGGGGTTGGAATGAAGCAGGGAATTTGGAGTCAGGGCATCTGGGTTCCCCCTCCCCACAGTTTCTAATTGTGCGGTGAGGGCAAGGCCCTCAGTTTCTCTGAGTTTGTTTCTCATCTATAAAATGAGTACCGCCACACAGATATGAAAAAGAAATTAAATAATGCTCCTCAAGCTTCTGGCTGTGTTATGCAGGAGGAAGGTTATGCTCAGAGTGGTTGGAAACTTGGACCCACTTTCAAGATAAGTGATAGAAGAATCTGGATGAATCAAGACCAGGAGGAGGGTTGGGGCCCTGTGTGGGGAATTGCTAAGGTAGCCAGGCTTGGAGGCCCAGGGTCCACTGCTAGCCTTGTATGCCGCTTATTCATTCGTTTATTTATTATTTGAGACAGGATTTCACTGTGCTGCCCAGGCTGGAGTGCAGAGGTGCGATCACTGCACACTGAAGCTTTGACTTCCCAGGCTCAGTGGATCCTCCCACCTCAGCCTCCTGAGTAGCTGGGACTACAGTCGTTCACCACTGTGCCTGGCTAATTTGTATATTTTTTAAAATATTTTTTAAAATTTTTATTTATTTTATGTATTTTTTTTTTTTGAGATGGAGTCTTGCTCTGTCACCTAGGCTGGAGTGCAGTGGCACGATGTCAGCTCACTGCAAGCTCTGCCTCCCGGGTTCACGCCATTCTCCTGCCTCAGCCTCCTGAGCAGCTGGGACTACAGGCACCCGCCACCATGTCTGGCTAATTTTTTTTTGTATTTTTTAGTAGAGATGGGGTTTCACCGTGTTAGCCAGGATGGTCTCGATCTCCTGACCTTATGATCCACCCGCCTTGGCTTCCCAAAGTGCTGGGATTACAGGCGTGAGCCACTGCACCCGGCCAATTTTTATATATTTTTTGTAGAGATGGGGTCTTGCTCTGTGGCCTAGGCTGGTCTCGAACTCCTGGTCTCAAGTGATCCTCCTGCTTTGGCCTCCCAAAGTGCCGGGACTACTGGTGTGAGCCACTACACCCAGCCTGTATGCCCCTTACTAATGTGATCATTCACTTATTATTGATTACTGACCTATGTACAAAGAAATAATAATTGGAGGTGGCTAACAATAAAAGGAAGAAAGACAGTAAAATGATAAAGAAGCAAAGATAAGAGAACAAGAACCAAATGGTAGTAAGGACAACTATCACAGTTCTTAACTAAGGACAGCAGAAGCAACTTAGCAAAAATATCAAACTCTGAACTCTCAGGAGTCAAGACAAAAGGGATATGTAGCACGTCACTTCTGCTCGGGGATTTTTGTGGTATTTTTGGCCACCCAACATCTGGAGCCTTTTTCTCTGGGAATTTTCCTCCCTCCGTAGAAGCAGAAATGGCTGATACTTGTTCTTGGCCTCCCTTGCATCCAGGGAGCAGAAAAACAGCAGATATTCCATCCACAGACAAGTGGGATTGGGGATGGCCTATGGGAAATGCTCTCTGGTGTATGGCTGTGATAATTGCATAGTTATGGGGGTGCTGGTGGTGGCAAGAGGTGGCCCATGCTGGTGGGGCTGGTGATAGAAGCCGTCTGCACTGGCTGCTATGGTGTGCTGTCCCCTGCACTGCTGTGTGTCAGGACTGGGGTGTTAATCTATTCAATCCATATACATAAGAATTTTTTTCTAACAAGTTTTAATTTTTGAATAATTTAAAATTTACAATGAAATGAAAAGAATAGCACAATGAACATCATATTTGCCTTTATCCAGATTTAATGATTTGTTAACATTTTTCCATGCTTGCAGTCACAAGCCCTGTCTCCACACACACGCGTATGCACACACACACATATTTGCTGAACTATTTGAAACTGAGATGCCCACATCATGATCCTTTACCTCTGAATCCTTCAGCATGATCTCCTAAGAATGAAAACGTTCTCCATCTTCGTAATTCCATTGTCACCTTAGGAAAATGAACAATTTTATAATACGTAATATCCAGTCCTTATTCAAATTTGTACACTTTCCAAAAATGCCTCATGTCTTTTAGTCTCTTGAAATCTAGAACAGTCCCTCTCCCTTCCCAGTCATTGTCTGTATTTGACACACTTTTCAAATGCTTTTAATTTCAGATACTTTAAATAAATTTATTTTCTGCTCAAATCAACTCTAGTCTCTTCTGTCACTTACAAATCTGGCCTCGTGCACACAGCTCCTCTTACCGAAGGAGCATTTCCACTACAGTCATAGGAAGATTAACTTTCCCTTGCTCAAAAAGGAGTAGCAGTTCCAACAATGGGCTCTGCAGTCAGACCGCCTGGCTTGGAATTGAATCCCCCTGCTAACCAGCTGGGGGAGGGCAAGCTACTTAACCATGATGAGGATCAGCTTCCAGAATTGTGAAGCTGCATAATAATAATGGTCTCTATTGCGTAGAGTTGTTGAGAGGCTTAAACGAATTCACAGGTGTAAAGGGCTTAGACCCGTCACCCAGATGCACTGTAAGTGTGGTGTAAGGGTTTACTGTAATGATGCAACCTCTTCCTGGTACATTCTCCCAATTCTTTGCTTCCTAGGCAACTTGTTTTCTTGGAAAATAGACCCAGCGGAAGACCCTACTCAATGATCTGTTTTCCACTGTAGGGTGATAGTACCAGCTGTCTTCTTTGTAAATGGTGCTTTAGAGTTTTCATTAACAAGGAGAGGCCGGGTGTGGCGACTCATGCCTGTAATCCCAATGCTTTGGGAGGCTGAGGCGAGAGGATCCCTTGAGGTCAGGAGTTTGAGACCAGCCTGGGCACCAAAGTGAGACTCTGTCTCTACAAAAAATTAAAAAATTAGCTGGGTATGGTGGTGCACACCTGTGGTCCCTGCTGCTCAGGAGGCTGAGGTGGGAGGATCACTTCAGCCCAGGAGTTTGAGGCTGCAGTGGGCTATGATTGCACCACTGTACTTCAGCCTGGGTGACAGAGGGAGATCCTGTCTCCAAAAAAAAAAAAAAAAAAAAAAAATTAGTAATAATAATAATAATAAGGAGAAGCAAGTACATTGTACTTAGAAACAACTTTTCCTGTCTTTAATCACATCAGTAGCTCTCATGCACTTAGTGCCCACCTTGGGCCAGACGCTGTGTACATATCATCTTATTCCTCCTCATAAGGGCTGTGGGGACATTATTATTGCCATTCTACACATGTGAAAACTGAGGCTCAGAAGTAAAGTCACTTGGTCAAGTTCAAGCAATCACTAAGTAACAGCACCAAAGTTAGAACTTCAATCTGCCTGCCAAGCAAAGCGCTTTCCAGTAAACCGTGTTGACTGGATCCCCAGGTGTGGTGGGTTCTAGTGTTTTTGGCAAATCGCCCCCCAAATCGCCCATTAATAAGCATCAGTGTGGAAGGGCCTTTTCTCCGTGGACAGGAAAACTGAGACCCAACCAGCTGTCATTGCGGCAATATCTGCTCTCCTTTTAGAAAGAGATGGGACAGGCTATTCTCAGGAAGACACTTAGCTGGCTTCTTCGGCTGCATCAACTCAAATCTGCCACTTTGGAAAATCAAGTTGAATAGGAATTGGGAGGGATTGCTGCTGCCTGGGGACCCAGAGCACCTCACACATAAACTCGGGTTTGCAGGGAGATGGCTGAATAAAGAAGAGAGGCGAGATTTTAACCTTTTGTGCAGCCAGATCTTTTTTTTTTTTTTGAGATGGAGACTTGCCCAGGCTGGAGTGCTGTGGCGGGATCTCGGCTCACTGCAAGCCCTGCCTCCCGGATTCACGCCATTCTCCTGCCTCAACCTGCCGAGTAGCTGGGACTGCAGGTGCCCGCCACCACGACTGGCTAATTTTTTTTTTTTGTATTTTTAGTAGAGACGGGGTTTCACCGTGTTAGCCAGGATGGTCTCGATCTCCTGACCTCGTGATCTGCCCGCCTTAGCCTCCCAAAGTGCTGGGATGACAGGCGTGAGCCACCGCACCTGGCCTTGTGCAGCCAGATCTTTAGGCCATGCATGTGGCCTGATTCAGCGAGAAACGGGATGACATGAACTGAGGATGAGGGCGGCTGAGCGAGCCAGTTCTTCATAGTCACATTCGGTTTAGCAGCTGATCATGACTTGCAGGTTTCATATCTGAAGATGATTTTCACTTTACCCAGTATTTTCCACAGGAAAAATTAGGGGAACAAAACCCAAAAGCTTTTACTACAGAATATTTTTGTTTCTTTTTAAAAATGGGATCTAATGAGTAATACGTGATCTCGTGATGTTATTAGAAGGTAGGTAACTGGAAGTAGTAGAGGCATTCACAGTCAACCTTTCGGAGTATTGCAAGCTTATTTTTTACAAGCAAAATTATTTTCTGCAAAATCCATTTCATGTGAATACTTAAAATAGAAGCCAATAATAGTTGGGATCCCCTGGATCCCCACCCTGGATCTCACATCGCATTTAGATGTCACGTCTCCTCAGCCTCCTCTTGGCTCTGGGTAATCTGAGCACCGAGGCTGGAGCCCTGCTCACTGCCTGCTTCCTCCCGAAGCCTCTAACTTTCTTCTTGGAACCTCACAGCTTTGTGGAACACTGTTCGAGAGCCCCTGATATACTCCAACACCTATTTACTAAAAATGCAGATGTGAAACGAGTCATTTCAGCTTACATTTAGAAAACAGTCTCTTTCAGGTTGGCGCAGTGGCTCACACCTGTAATCCCAGCACTTTGGGAGGCCGAGGCAGGCGGATCACCTGAGGTCCGGAGTTAGAAACCAGCCTGACCAACGTGGAGAAACCCCGTCTCTAATAAAAATACAAAATGAGCTGGGCGTGGAGGTGCATGCCTGTAATCCCAGCTACTCAGGAGGCTGAGGCAGGAGAATCGCTTGAACCCAGAAGGTGGAGGTTGCAGTGAGCGGAGATCACGCCATTGCAATCTGGGCAACAAGAGCGAAGCTCTGTCTCAAAAAAAAAAAAAAAAAAAAAAAGAAAGAAAAAAGAAAAAAAAGAAAACAGTCTCTTTCAAACCTCCCGGTGAGAAGAAATCCAAATAATTCATGTCAATATTCCGCCCTCGAGGAGGTGGAGCGTAACTCCTCTCTCCTTTCATGTGGGCTGTGCATCGGGACTTCCATCCAGAGAGTACAGTGTGGAAGGAGGAACTCCAAAGGAGTACGGTGGAGACACCTGACAAACACCACCTCAATCAGGTGGTCAAGGTTAAGAGCAACGAACCATGCTAACTGTACATGCCCTGATACGATGGGATGGGAATGGCTCTTCATCTCTGAGGTCTTCCTCCCTAAATCCCTCGCCCAAGTCTAATCACCAGGAAAACATCAGAGCAATCCCGATGAAGGGAGAGTCTGCAGAATGCCTGATCAATACCTCTCACATTTGAAAAGCCATCAAAACCAAAGACACTCTGGGAAGCCGTCAGGGCCAAGAGGAGCTGAAGGAGGCAATGCCTAAATGTGATGTGGTGTCCAGGGTGGTATCCTGCAAGAGTGGAGGGACATTGGTAGAAACTAAGGCTATCTGAATAAAGTATGGATGTTAGTTAATAATAACAATAATACATTGCTATTGGTTCATTAATTGTAATGAATGTACCATACTAACAGAAGATATTATTAGCAGGGGAAAATTGCTTGAGGTTTATGGGTATATGGGAACTCTCTGTACTATTGTGGCAGTTTTTCTGTAAATCCAAACCATTCTAAAATTAAAAGTTACTTTTGAAAAAAAAAAGGTTTATTCCATTACCTAATAATTTGTGGTGTAGGAAAAGTGTTTTTTTTTTTTTTTTTTTTTTAAATTCAGACTAGTCCTTTCTGGTCATACATGGAGGCTAAAGGGGTTTAAAATACTCTGATGGGAGTCTAGACATTAACTTATACAATCCATATTTCTCACTTCACCAGCTTGGGGTACAGAATAAGGTCATATCTTTTAAAATACGCATAATGCTAGACTCCCATTTGCCTTAGGCTAACTGGAGAACGTTATTTTTCCATGCCCTTGGCTCCTGGTGGCATGGTGCTGTCCTCCCGAGACAAGTGCAGTGTGGCCCAGTGAGTCCTGTCACCATCGCCGTCATCGTGGGCCTGCAAGAGCGGAGAAGCCAGCCAGCCCTCCCCATGGCAGCTGTGCAGCTTGGCTTCAGGCCTGGTGCTTGATGGCCTGCGATCCTTCAGTTACTCACCTCTCCAGGCCATGAACACAGCCATTTCTCAGGGGTCAGGGTGGCTAGGTCAGGAAATCTCCCCAGCCATAGCCATTTGAAGTCCTTGGGGAATTCAGAGTGAAAACATTGTTGTCCTTTCCCTCACTTTGAAACTTTCATGCGCGTCGGAGTGAAGAGACCACCAAACAGGCTTTGTGTGAGCAATAAAGCTTTTAATCACCTGGCTGCAGGCGGGCTGAGTCCAAAAACAGAGTCAGCGAAGGGAGATAAGGGTGGGGCGGTTTTATAGGATTTGGGGAGATAAAGGAAAATTACAGTCAAAGGGGATTTGTTCTCAGGTGGGCAGGAGTGGGGGTCTCAAGGTGCTCAGTGGGGGAGCTTTTTGAGCCCGGATGAGCCAGGAAAAGGACTTTCACAAGGTAATGTCATCAGTTAAGGCAAGGACCGGCCATTTTCACGTCTTTTGTGGTGGAATGTCATCAGTTAAGGTGGGGCAGGGCATTTTCACTTCTTCTGTGATTCTTCAGTTACTTCAGGCCATCTGGGCATATACGTGCAAGTCACAGGGGATGCGATGGCTTGACTTGGGCTCAGAGGCCTGACACAAACCTGTTGATTTCCTGGCCCAGCTTGAGTGATATTTCTCCTCTCTCCATCCCCAAGGGGACACATCACTTGATTTCCTGGCTACTTTTGCTCTGTTGTGGGTGAAGAAAGCCACTGCGACTGCATGACTGTGACTTAGATGGAGAGGGGAGGATCAATCTCTTTTTAATAGACAGAAGAGGGAGTGAGCTGGAGAGGCAGGCAGCGAGAGGGAGGCAGTTCTTTCACTGGTAGGGAAAGGACTTGTGTCCTGGGCCTGGATCACCCAGCTCTGTGACTCTCAGTATTCTATCTAATCTTCCTGGGCCTTAGTTTTCTCATCTGCAAATTGGGGAGAGGGATAGAAAAATTGGAAGAGACAAGCCTGACTGTGCAGTGGGTTTTCTTTCCTTTTTTTTTGAGACGGAGTCTCGCTCTATCTCCCAGGCTGGAGTGCAGTGGCGCAATCTCAGCTCACTGCAACCTCCATCTCCCAGGTTGAAGCGATTCTCCTGCCTCAGCCTCCCGAGTAGCTGGGATTACAGGCACCTGCCACCACACCCGGCTAATTTTTGTATTTTTTGTAGGGACGGGATTTCACCATGTTGGCCCGGCTGGTCTGGAACTCCTGACCTCAGATGATCTGCCTGCCTCAGCCTCCCAAAGTGCTGGGATTACAGGTGTGAGCCACTGCGCCTGGCCGTGAAGTGTGTTTTCTGTTCCATCTAGCAGTGTATCCAGGAGCCAAAGCTGGAGCCTGGGCTCTGGCACCCCCTCACCCCCACCCCTCACCCCTACTCCCACCCGAAGCAGTGGTGCTCATCCCCGTGCCACAAGCTCAGCCTCAGTCATGGGTGGGGAGAGAAAAGCCTTGCTCTGACCCCAGCTTAACCCTGGCCCCCATTCAGACGTATTGTTGCTATTGTTTTCTGGGGTTTGCTTCACCGGAATACTGCCCCTTCATGTTCTAAGATCCTTCCCAAGGAATACGCAAGTCCCTCCCCCACCACAGTGCACATTCACTAGATAGGGGAGACTTTACTTTTTTTGCTTGCAAAATCCAAGTCCTTTCACGTTTCCTCTCCAAAGTGATGAAAAGGAATTCGGCTGCCAGGACAAGTCACAAGGAAGATGAAAGCAGCTTTCCTGAGGTTCAATTCTTCCAGAAACAATCTTCCTCTTCCCTCTTCCCCCAACTCCTCCCCAACTTTCAATGCACCCAAGTGTATATTGTTTTTAAATGTCAAAGGGAAAAAAAAAAGAAAAAGAGAGTGAGAGAAAACCCATTTGCTCCTGAATGTCACATTCTGCTGAGGGAGAAAAGGCAGAAAGAACAAGTGTTGGAATTAAAGAGAAGCAGATTTTTTGTCTCCTTTGCCTTATTCAGGTCTTCGGGCCGGCCCCCTTTGCTCTCTCCTCTTCCTCGTTTCCCTCCCCTAGGCCGCATTGAAATGTCAAACACGGCAGTTTGCAGCTGAAAGGGGGTCCCTGGTGGGAACAGCCTGCCCTTCTAACCTGCAGGACCGAGCTGTTCCCTGCTCGCCCTTGTGTTTGCTTTTCCCCTTTCTTCCTCGCCGGCTAACGCCAGCAGCTGTTGTTTGGGACGGAGGAGGCGAAGGGGGAGGGAAAGCCTTTCCACCTGGGCGTGTGAAGGAGGCGCGTTACAAACAACGCTGGGCCCCTTCTTTCCCTCGAGTTTTTCCAACCTCCGGTTGACACAGAGATTGTCCCCTGGGGCCTTTTCACTTTCCGCCTGGGAAGAGAAAGGCCGGGGAAAGGAGCTCCCTGTACCCAGAGTGCCTGCCTCTGCCTGGGTCTCCTCTCTCCCCTTTCGGGGATTCTGTCCAGGCACGTTGGAGGTCAAGACAAAGCGGTGCCAACGGGCCGGGCGTGGTGGCTCACGCCTGTAATCCCGCACTTTGGGAGGCCGAGGCGGGCGGATCACGAGGTCAGGAGATCGAGACCATCCTGGCTAACAAGGTGAAACCCCGTCTCTACTAAAAAATACAAAAAATTAGCCGGGCGCGGTGGCGGGCGCCTGTAGTCCCAGCTACTCGGGAGGCCGAGGCAGGAGAATGGCGTGAACCCGGGAGGTGGAGCTTGCAGTGAGCCGAGATCACGCCACTGCACTCCAGCCTGGGCGAGGGACTCTGTCAAAAAAAAAAAAAAAAAAAAAAAAAAAAAAAGTGCGAGCGGAAGTAGAAGCGTTTTCCAACGCCCAGAGTTGGTGAAGGTCTAGGGAGAGGATGTTTCCCTATATTGCTGGCGAAGGGGGACATTGGTCCAGCCTTTCCAGAGGGCTTCTTGGTAACATCAATCAACACCCTTCGAAAAAGTGCAAATGCTCAATTCAGCAATTCCAGGTCTAGGGATTTTCTCCTAAGAAATAATTAGGCAAAGAGCCAAGAGTTATGCACAAGGATGTGTGCCTCAGGAGTGTTTATAATACAGCTCAATTGGAAACACTTTTCTCTCTGTCCAGGATTAAAAAAATGAAGGCATGTTATCTCATGGAATAGTATAGGGTCATTGTAAATGATGATGTAGATTTATATTTGTGTATGGTAAATGTGTTACAGGAAAGGGTCCCGATCCGAACCCCAAGAGAGGGTTCTTGGATCTCGCCGAGAAAGAATTCAGGGCCAGTCTGCGGTGAAAAGCAAAACCAAGTTTATGAAGAGAGTAAAGCAGTGAAAGAACAGCTACTCCATAGACAGAGTAGGACGTTCCTGAAACTAAGAGGAGGAACGTGTCCATCCTAGGTAAAACGGTTCTATATGTGGGGAGATGTTCTCTGCTACAAGGGTTCGTGATGAAGGATTAATTTTCTTAATTACAATATTTTGCAAGAATCGATATTATCTTTAAAGCAAAATTAGGAATGTTTTTGTTCTCCAGATATCAAGATATCTGCATGCTCCCAAATCTGGGTCTGTTTAGTAAACATTATTAATTTGTTCCCTTAACTGTAAACATTTAGAGGCTAGGAATGCCTAATTTTCTGAGTGCAGCCCGGCAAGTTCCAGCCTTATTTTCCTGGCTCTCACTCAAAATGGAGTGGCTGTGGTTTGAACGCCTCTGACAAATGCACCTGTTAGCAATAACGTAGGCACACACTGAGAATGGCCTTGTATGGCAGACACACCTGAATGTGTGTTCTGAGCTAGGGAATCCGGGAGTGGGAAACACGGAGACTCATTTTTTGTCTATGAGGAACATCTGAGCCTCTGGCCCGTCCCGTAAAACATAGGCCATACAGAAGACTGTGGCTCCGAGTTTTGGGTTGCATGAAGGTTGCCAGGAGGAGGCTGTTGGGAGGGAAGGTACTAAAGGAAACTGCTACATAAACTGCATGCCTTTTGCAATCGGTTACAGTTCTCCTGTCCAGCCCACCAGCACTGGACTCCCTCCTCTGCAGGTAAGCCCCCATGCCTCGTTTTCTGGCTCTGAGTCTTTTCTTCAGCCTCTTGAATCTGGTGCCTTCCCCACTGGAGTCAATAGGGGTTTGGCATGATAATTTGCTGATGTGAAAAGATGTCTACAAAAAAACAAGGGAAATAGCAAGATATACCATGTATAGTTCTTTCTCATTTTTTACATTAAATAATATATGTGAATAGAAGAGTCTGGAAAGATAGGCACCCAGATGTTGATGGCTGGGTGGTGAAATTATGGTTGATATTTCTTGTCTTTATAATTCCTAGTGATTTCTCTTTTTTATCATTTAATAAGGATCCTTATTAAGGATCATATAATAAGGATCCTTATTATAATCAGAAAAAAATCAACAAAGTTATTACTTTCCTAAAGAGTGTGAAGTGTGTAAATTAACTTTTGCCCCTTAGGTACTGTAATGCTATCTTTTTCCTTATGTTGTATGAATAAAAATTTCCTAATAATTAAAATGTTCATTTTTATAACATGAAACCAGAGATTTATTGTTTTTGGCATCTGAGAAGGAAAGCATCTAATCCCTAATAGATCACAGAACACACAATGATGTTCTGTGATTTCTTTCCTTCTCTGGTCGCCTGTTATTTAACTTTGATGGTCCTTTTATAAAGAATGATTGTCATCTTTCCTCCTTCACCTCAGCTCCAAGCTGGTCCTGCATCACTTCTCTCTGCTCTGTCCCCAGCTGCACTGTCCCACCTACTCAATGTCCCCCAGCCGCTTCCCCCAGCCAGTCTGCTGTTGGCTTTTCTGCCATTTTGTTGTGTACAACTAACTCCAACCCTCACATCAGGACATTTCAATCGACATATTTAAAAGGAGGCTGACTGTCTTGGACAGCCCAGGACATGTGGACATTGCTATAAAATACACCCACCTTGAATATTGAGAGGTTCCTGTAAGGCTTCCAGTTTTTCCTTCCCAACATGACTTCCTAAATGCACCAAAGTTACTATTTGAATTTTATATGATTCTGCCCTTACAGTCAAAACTGGGTCCCTTTACCTACATGTCCCATGGGAAGGTGAGGCCTTGGCTTTGGATAAAACATATCATGGAGGTGGAAGTTCTGACTCTGCTCTTCCAAATACGAACCGGTGTTCCTAGGAAACACACTGCAGGACTGACCTGCATTTCCAATTTGTGCCTAAGTGGGAGTGGCTAGCTGAATTCAGGGAAAGACTTGAAGTTAGCACTTGAGATATTGGCCGCCATATTGGAAAGTTGGAGGCATGGCTTGGATGAGTGTGGCTGACTTTTGAAGCCCATGCCAACCTCTCCAGTTCGGCAGTTTGAAGACTGTCCTTTCACATTTGGTAATGGGGAAGAGAAGGAAAGTAGGAAAAAGGCAGCCTTTATTTGTGCTTGTTTTTAGCTGAGGTGAATGTATCTGAGGGTTGATGATGCCCTTCAAATGGCTTTGCTGCTACTGGCATGCTGCTTTGCTCAGGTGCAGAGAATCACTTGCATAGAACAGTGTGTGTACATGTAGATATCTCTTGGCCATCTTCTTGCTGGGGAAATGCTCCTCGAGAACCATGGAATGGAAAGATGAGCCAAGGAAATCCTCTTCATCTCCTGCAAGGATCCCCCAGCCATAACCCCCTCAGGGTTCAGGATGACTGAAGATCATCCTGAGTGCTTGGTGTGTGCCTAGTAATGCAGATACAGTTCAGTGTGGGGAGGACAGGGCTGGAGGGAAAGAGCCACCAGCCTCTGCTTCTCTGCCAAAGAACAGCTTTATGGAAATAAAAGACAGCTGCGTAGGAAGCAGCCCGGCACTTCCACGGATGCTTTCATTTGTGAACAGAGGCCGTGCTAAGCAACAACTAGAAGGAGTCTTGGGCATCCCTCACTGGACAGAGTACAGTTCTTTGTTCTGCCCCCATAAATAAGGGACATTTTCTCTAGGAGTGTGATGTATTCCAGAAATTTGTTGTTAGTGAGGGCTTTCAGTTGTCTTTTCAGATTCTCATGGTTCTTAGGTCTTTATAATATCACATCTTGAGAAAAAGTATAGGTTTTGAAAATCTAGCTCTAGTGATTAGAAAATTTATAAGCTTAGTCTTCAAACTTCACTAGTTTTACATGGGACTGTAGTATCAGCCTCTGGGGGCTGTAGGGCTTAAAAGGCTGGTTTAATCCGGGCGCGGTGGCTCACTCCTGTAATCCCAGCACTTTGGGAGGCCGAGGCGGGCAGATCACGAGGTCAGGAAATCGAGACCATCCTGGCTAACACGGTGAAATTCCGTCTCTACTGAAAAATACAAAAAATTAGCCGGGTGTGGTGGTGGGCGCCTGTAGTCCCAGCTGCTGGGGAGGCTGAGGCAGGAGAATGGCGTGAACCCGGGAGGCAGAGCTTGCAGTGAGCGGAGTTCGCGCCACTGCACTCCAGTCTGGGCGACAGAGCGAGACTCAGTCTCAAAAAAAAAAAGTCTGGTTTCATTGATGTGGCCCTGGCTACCTTTCTAGCCTTATGTCATTTATTTCACTATTTCAAGCCAAATTGATGTCTTTCTCTTCCCTACGTCAGTAGGCTCTTTCACACCTGTTTTAGCGCTTCCTGTCCCTCTGCCTGAAATATCACTCCCTGACGTGTTCGCTTCTCAAACCCGGTTCATCCTTCAAGGACCAATGGAAGTGTTGCCTCCTCTGTGATATCAGCTTTGCCCCTGCGTCTCTGCTTCTGTTTACCTCCGCGGGAGCTCATCATACACTCTCTGTTTTGGGAAAGTCTTCATGAAAACTGTTCCTCTCCCCTACTAGACTCTGAACTTCTTGAGGACATGGCAAAATATCTGTTGCTGGATGGATACACAGATAAGTCAAGTGCTACACCCCTGGCAGCTGCTGTTTTATTTTTCTGCCTTTCTCTAAGTTCCCATTCTGAAGCGTCCTTAATCCCAGATGAACTAGATTGGCTTAATCACGTATGTATACAATCAGTCTATCAGGAGTAGGTACTCTGATT
Source organism: Homo sapiens (assembly GCF_000001405.40). Classification (NCBI taxonomy): domain Eukaryota; kingdom Metazoa; phylum Chordata; class Mammalia; order Primates; family Hominidae; genus Homo; species Homo sapiens. Next base: position 93,285,227 of record NC_000015.10, read on the forward strand.
CCCTGTCTGCTATTTTTAGTGAGCCCATTAGATAAGTGATCTTCAGGTTGTTCAGGTGCAGGACATTTGGAAGTCCCTGCATTGTTTGGGGGAGACTATGAAATATTGATACAGTTGTCTTCGTCAATGAACTATAAATAATTAGTTACATAATATATATTATGTATATAATATACGTTTGCAACCATGGGCAGATATAATGTGTCCATAAAAAACAAATGAAAACCCAAATCCTTTCTAAATTCAAATTTTTAAATGAATCATAATTGTATCCCTCCAAGTTTTAAAATCAACATTCATTTGCTGTTTATTTATTTATTTATTTGATCTGTGAGTGCTCACGAGTAAAGAAGCAATAAGAGTGATAAATACTTAAGAAAAAAATACTGGAGAACAACTTACAACTGAGAACACTCTATTCATTAGCCATTACTCAATTTTGACAGCTTAATTGTCTTGTTTAGTAAAGTTTATTGAGTACTTAGGATGTGCCAGACACTGCTAAGGGCTTTGTATGGCTATCCCATTAATCCTCATTACCACCCTAAGATATGGACATCTTTATAATTTTCATTATACAGATGAGGAAATAGAGGCTTAGTGTCAAAGGTTAAATGCTTTCACAAAGTAAATGTTTTCAAAAAGTAAAATCATGACTCCTCATACTAACGTAAAATGAACACAAGTCAGAGATTTCATTGAACTCGTTAATGAATGAGAGAACCAGTAAGATGTTACTGAAACACATCTGCATTTCTACGGACAAGAACAATTTGCCTTACTATAAATTTTCTGTAATTTAGAGAATTGTAAAAGAGCTTTAAGTTAATGCAAGGTGGAAGTAACCCAGTGGACACAGGAGCCAGAACACCCAGTTATCTTGTGTGCCCATTTCAAAGTCTTCCCCGGTTCTTCACAGGGTTAGGAAAAGTCACTGGAACAAGATGCAAACCCAACCACCCAGAGCCAGTGTCCCTAACACCTGCTCTGTTGCTAGAAAGATTTAAGAACTATTAAGTTGATGCAAAAGTAATTGCGGTTTTTGCCATTGAAAGTAATGGCAAAAACCGCAATTACTTTTGCATCAACCTAATACAAACTGAAAGAGAGATTATCAGCTCTTTTTTGGAGTTGCTTTTCCTCCTATTGTTTGATTTATTGATGTAACTATTTTTCTTCCATTTAAAAATGCTGCATCACATATGTTTAGGTTTTAGAGAATAAAAGGAACTCACTAAATTTGAGTCTTGTGTTAAATGCTTGAGGGAGATACTAGTAATTCCCATTATGCAGATGAACAGATAGGTTTATAGAGACACTCCAAGTTGCAAGGCAAGTGGAGTGGAGCTGTGACTGAAACCCATGTCCCTCCCATCCAGGGCCCATCATCAGCTAGGAATGTGTAAGTCACTATTTATTCTAACAGAAAGAATTTGCATTGTCCCCAGCTTCTGGAGGCTGCATCATTTGCCATGGGGTTGCTGAGTTGTGCTGAGGATTAGGGGATAGAGCAAAGAAAATAGGATCGGAAAGAAGCAATTTTCCCCCCTCTGTGCTCAGTGGACCCATATTTGTCTGCATGTGGTAGCCCAAAGTGACATAAGTGTTCTGGACCCAGCGCTTGACTTATGCCAATGTTCAGATATTGAGTAGGGCCTTGATGTTGGAGTGGCAGTGTGCTTTTTCAGCTGTGCAGGAGCTGGATTTCTAGGACACAGCAATTCTCTGAAGGTGTTAAGACTGCTGTCAACGCTGAGTGAGGTGGCTCATGCCTGTAATCCCAGCACTTTGGGAGGCCGAGGCAGGCGGATCACCTGAGGTCAGGAGTTCGAGACCAGCCTGGCCAACATGGTGAAACCCTCTGTCTACTAAAAATACAAAAATTAGCCAGGCATAGTGGCGGGCATCTGTAGTCCCAGCTACTCAGGAGGCTAAGGCAAGAGAACCGCTTGAACCCAGGAGATGGAGGTTGCAGTGAGCCGAGATTGCACCATTCCAGCCTGGATGTTAGAGCGAGACTCTGTCTCAGAAAAATAAAGGGGGCTCTCAAAATGCCACAGGCCACTGCATTTAGTGCATCACATTAGCTATTAGTTATCCATCCGAAGAAACTAAGCAGTGTTTTCCAACACTCACTATACTGTGGCCATACCCTAGGACTAGCATTTATGAACCCATATGTGGAGGCTTCCTTCAGGTTCTTCAAGCCTGGCTCCATCCAGATGACCTGGATGCTTGGATACAATGCAGTTTTGTCAACAGCCCTCCAGAATTAATCAGAATTTCAGCAGGATGAGGGCTGAACATACCTCTTTTCAAGATCCAAATATACTTGGGCTTCCCAGGTATAAACGCTGTGTGCTGGATTCAGGCAGGCCGGAATGTGCATCCTGGCCTCATTGCGTGATATTGGGCAAGCTAATTCAGCTCTTGAAGACCTACTTTCCTCATTTGAAAAATGGGGATAATTATAGTTGTGGGGAGTGGACGAGGTGATCCACGGGAAGCATTGGCACTGGGCCTGGCACCGGCTATGTTCCCAGCCAATGTCAGCTATTAACGAATTTCATTGATTCCGAGATGCTCTTTTTTGCATATTAACATCTTTGAAATCAGTCTGCTTCTAAAAATTGATGGCATGTCATGGTCTCAGTGGTAGCATTTTACCCCCTTCTTAGGGTCTCTAAAACAATGGTGCACCTTACAATAGACAGTGTCTAGACTTAGTGAAATACAGGGTGTGTAAGGGTCCCCGGGGTGCAGTATTGATGACCACAGGGCCTCGTGGAGGAGTGCTGGAAATTTGGAAATGTCAGGTCTGCCTAAGCTGTGTCCAGCTCCCCAGTGTTCTGCGCACACAGGAGTAAGTCAAAGGGAAGGTGAATAAACAAGGTGGGTGGGTCTGCTTCTCTTGGATAGGGGCTTCATGATTGCAGGTGCCCTTGCTCAGTCTCCTTCTCTCAGGTGTTGCTCAGTTTTTCTTTCCAGGCCAGGGCAGCTGAGCTGGGCAGGGTGGGCGGGGTGAGGGCTTTGCTCACCTCGTTCAAGGTCCTCCTCAACAAGTTGATCTCCAAGCTTGCTTGGGCCACTTGGCTTCAACAGGTTCTATTATCCTTTTCCTTTGGGTGCCCTTTCAGGGAATGATTTTGAAATGGAACCCAGGGTCCCGAAGGAGACAGCAATATCCCTAATACCAGCTTGACCCAAGAGGGCAGATAAGGAAGACATTACCCCTGCTCCCCACCAACCACCTCTGCCTCACTCTTGTTCCGTTCAGCCACATGATCATGACGGAACTCGGCAGCGAGACAGCCGTGGGGGAAGGTGTGCTTCTTGTTTTTATTTTTAAGGTGATCCTGTAGGAAGGAATCGGTGTAATGAATGGTTTGCTCCCTTTGAAAAAGAACCATCTGGGTTTAGATTTCATATTTCCTATTTCAAACCCTTTCAATTAGACCCTTGGGGTTTCCCAGGCCTGCCTGGGGGAGTCTTTCTCCAAGCTTCCTTTCCTTCCTTTCCCAAACCCTGGGACAAATGTTTGTTTTTCTCACATATTCATCAAGGCCCAAGGCCTTCAGAAAGTACTGAGGCGCTGGGCTTTGACATGGGAAGCTGGAGCCTGTCTGGGGAGCGTTGAGCCCGAGAACAGTACTTGGCAGGCTTGCTTCCTGCCCCATGCTGCCATTCACTGTGGACAGCTTGGGGGTGGGGACGGTGCAGTGGGCGGGGGTTGGGGGTGCTTGGCACATTTGCTGAATCCACTGGAAGCCCTCAGTTTGGAGAGGGAAAGGGACTTTCTCATGGATTTCCAGCTCCAAGAGCATCAATCAGCCTCAGAGCAACACTAGTGAGGAAAGGAATTGTTTATAGCAGGAAAGGTGATTACAAAGGCCACCCGCTCACTGTGTATCTTTTGTTCCTGTTGGCACCTTGACCAGAATTCTGGGGCAGCCCTCGTGCAGACTTTGCCTGCCTGGGTCTGTGGATCCTGGAGGTCGAGGAGGAAGGGAAAAGATGCCCAGAGAAGCAGGGAGAAGCCCGGCTCTGGAGTCTATACTGTGTCCCATCTCCCTCTTTCTTTCCTTCTTTTTTTCTCTTTGAGACGGAGTCTCGCTCTGTCGCCCAGACTGGAGCGCAGTGGCGTGATCTCGGCTCACTGCAAACTCCGCCTCCTGGGTTCACGCCATTCTCCTGCCTCAGCCTCTCGAGTAGCTGGGACTACAGGCGCCCGCCACCACGCCCGGCTAATTTTTTGTATTGTTTTTGTAGAGGCGGGGTTTCACCATGTTAGCCAGGATGGTCTCGATCTCCTGACCTCATGATCCCGCCTGTCTTGGCCTCCCAAAGTGCTGGGATTACAGGCGTGAGCCACTGCGCCCGGCCCTAATTTTTGTATTTTTAGTAGAGATGGGGTTTCACCATGTTGGCCAGGCTGGTCTTGAACTCCTGACCTAAAGGGATCTGCCCACCTCAGCCTCCCAAAGTCCTGGGATTACAGGCGTGAGCCACCGCACCAGGCATGTGAAACTTAAATCAGGTGTCAAGGTCTGCTGGGCACTTGGTTGGCAATTCATACTATTACTCCTGACCTGCCTTTCCCCCTTCGCTCTTGCCTCAGAGGGTAAGATCCATACCTTACATTACTTAAACATGATTTTTGAAAGGGTAGTTAAAGTAGAGGAATGAGAATGAGGAAAATGAGAAGGAAAAGATGTCATTTCCCTGCACATTTACTCCCTCCCACCGCACCTTCAAACCCGTTTACATTTCACAAACGTTACTAGCCAGAAGATGCACATCTGTGCCTGGAGGCTGCATTTCCTCTCCTGAAGCTAGCCTCTGATGGAAGTCTCCGCTCTGCCGGTTGGTGGTTTTGCTCGGCTGAGCTGTGGGCTGTGGGGTTAAAGTACCCTTGCCAAAGTGAAGAGTTTTATCTGCCTTCCTGACAGCTGTGAGAAATTCTGATTGACAAGAGGGCAGATTCTACACAGGGGGTTGGGGGAGACAGGTCCCCACGTGTCAGTTTTGAGAGGCACTACTGGTGTCAGATAGATTTCATTTCTGTATTGGAAAGTGCTTCTTTAATATAGAATTGAAAATATTCAAGCCTGTAGCAAGGGACAGTTGCTCCAGGGCAGAAAATGGTCTGTATAAAAATGCCCTCCCAGCTGCAGGGTGGAATGCATGGACTTGACCCTAATATGGAATAATTGAATTTATAGGAAGAACATTGCCCTGTGAATAGCTCTTGGAAGCTGCTGGGCAGAGATGCACAGGGTTTCTAACATGCAAATGCGGCTGAGTACGAAGCCCCAGAATAAAAATCCCATCCATCCATCATGTTATTAACAGGCGGGTTCCTAGACTGATTTTGAAATTTGTCAGTAGGCAAATTAATTACGCTCTTAAAAGGTGATCAGAAGCATCCATAGGTGTCTTTGACCTTTGACAAGGAACACACTGCTATGGGTCTAATTGTCAGAATAATTGTTTTCTCCCCTGCGAATGACTGGCGGCAGGTGCAGCTCTGTGCATTGGTCTGCATTTAATTATCTACAGGATCTGAGGATGGGGGTTTTGTGGGATATGCTTTTATAAAATAAGCTTTTATAGTGTAAAAATACCAATAACTCTTCCTGGCTGGATACATTTATTTTAAACAAATTACGGTGGCTGCATATAGGCATAGAGCTTAGGTGCTCCAAGAGGGATATTTACCTTCATGATGTGTGGGTTTTGTCTTTATTTGTCTGAGTGATATTAACAACAATACACAGCCTTTCTCCAACGGCACTTGCTGCTTGTAGGCAGGGTTTTTGTGGGCATTGTTGTAATAATCGGGTAAGACATTTCAAAATATAGGCTAAAGGCCAAAACAGAGCAATTGAAGAAAATAAATCCATGTGTGGAAATGAAATCCATTTGGGCTAAAAATGAAGGGTGTGTGTTACAGTGAAAACAAGACAGGTATCAAAATCAGAATCACTTGAATTTATCCAGCACTTCTACCATTCATTTGGTAAATTATTGGTGGCAACGAACATGTGCTAAGCTAGGGGCTGGGGATATATGGTAAACTGCTGTCCCGGAAACAGCGATATAATTGTACAGATGGCTGTGAAACTGAAGGGCAGGGTGCAAAGAAAGGGTGATACAGATGGCTGGAGGTGGTCAGAAAAGGGGTCCTCTGATGAGTAGGAATTAACTAGATGAAGTGTGTTTGTGTGTGTACGTGGTGCCGGTGCAGGGGATGATAAAGTGAGGATGGTGTACTTGAGGTTCTGAGGCGGAAAGGTGATTGGTGTATGTGTTAGTCTGTTAAGGCTGCCATAAGGAAGTACCACAGACTGGGTTGCTTCAACCGCAGAAATGGACTGTTTCACAGTTCTGGAGGCTGCAAGTTGACATCATGATGTCATCAGGGTTGATTACTTCTGAGGCCTCTCTTTTTGGTGTGCAGGTGGCCATGTTTTCCTCCTGTGTTCACATGGTGTTCCCTGTGTATGTGTCTGTGTCCAAATTTCCTCTTCTTGTAAGAACATCGGTCATATTAAATTTGGACCCACCTTAAGCTCTTCATTTTAACTCGGTTACTTCTTTAAAGGCCCTCTGTCCAAATTCAGTCCCATTCTAGGGTACTAATGGGTTAGGGCTTCTACATATGAATCTTGAGGGGACAAGATTCAATCCATAACCCTCTATAAGGAAACCGAATGCAGATTTTCAAGATTCAAAATTGTGTGCTAATTATAAACATAATTCTTGACGGAGGTTATAGAGTTTAAAGAAATTTAATTCTATCCACTGGAAATTTTTATGAATGGGTTGCAAACCTCAACTCTACTAGAGAAATGCTGGAAAGAAAAAGAGCCTGATGAAGTCCTCATCTTACTCAGAGAAAGGCAAACTTTGGTAATTAGATTAATAAGATGAAAAATTTCCTTATAAAACTTGAAAGAATAGGGGAGTGATTGCACTACGTTGAGAATGTACTAAATGCCACTGAATAACTTTAAAATGGTTAGTTTTACATTACGTGAATTTCACCTCAATGGAACAAAACAAACAAACAAACAAACAAACAGCCCAAAAAACTTAAAGGCAGCCACTGGTAGAACTCTTAAAAGGATTTAAAGTCTACAACCCTTGAGTATTTAAAGTCTACAACCCTAGAGTAGATTAAAAAACAAAATGTACGCTGGGCGCGGTGGCTCACACCTGTAATCCCAGCACTTTGGGAGGCCAAGGCGGGCGGATCACCTGAGGTCAGGAGTTCAAGACTGGCCTGACCAATATGATGAAACCCCATCTCTATTAAAAATACAAAAATTAGCCAGGCGTGGTGGCATGCACCTGTAATCCCAGCTACTCAGGAGGCTGAGACAGGAGAATCGCTTGAACCCGGGAGACAGAGGTTGCAGTGAGCCGAGATCGCACCATTGCACTCCAGCCTGGGCAACAAGAGCGAAACTCTGTCTCAAAAAAAAAAAAAAAGAAAAAATGTAGCTCATAAAAGGAAATGAGAGGAAATAGATACAGCAGGAAAGACTTGACTTAAAGAACCAAAATGTACAAAAGTTATAACAGGCATGAAACAACTTATCAGCCAAGACAATAAATATAAATGATTAAAACTCTTTTACAGAGGCTTTTGAGTTGTATTTCAAAAGCAGCGAATTATATTCTGTTAACAAGGAATACATCTAAACTAGAACGTGGCAAGATTGAAAATAAAATAAACTAACATTGATTAGGCAAGCACAGATTCCAGGAAAGCAGGGTTAGCAATGTTACTTTCCAAAAAGTGATCTTCATGGTAAAAAACATTACATGGAAAACATGGAGTCATTTCATATGGATAATGTGTATATTTTATAATACATGTACTTTTTGAGTGTGTATAATGTGCCAGTTACTGTGTGAGGCACTTGTCTTGGATTATTTCTCTAAAGCCCTGAGGTAGGAGTTACCTTGTTTTCATCCCTGTTTCAGGGGAAGGGAAACTGAGGACTAGAGAATCTATCTCATAACTAATCAAAGGCAGACCAGGAGTCTGCACTGGAGTCTGGTGCTTGGCCAATACACTCTCCATCATGCACACAACAGATGGACAAAACTACAGATTCATCTAATGTTCGAAATGCAAGGAGAAGTTAACGGTGAAGTAGCATAATGGTTTTAACAATCTTTATCAACTTTTGCCAGAAATGATTAAAAGATAAATTGCCACAAAGAAAATGTCAGGAGATCCAAAATTTATTGTAGAAACTGTACAAGCCATGTTTTCTAACTCTAGTGCTATGAATATTGAAACTAACAGTAAAAATTAAACAAAAAAATCTATACAATAACTTAAGAAGTAAAATAATAAAATGCCCAGACCCTCCAAAATCTAAATTCATTTTCTTAATAGTTTGGTTAGAAAATACTAAAAGATGATACTTGTATCAAACACATGAAATGTAGCTAAAGTTGTACTTAGAGGCAAATGAATTCATTTTTTAAACAAAGAATACAAATGAATGAAAGAAGTGGTCACTTCAAGAAAATAGGTAGAAGAACAAGAAGAATTCCAATCAAAGAGTGGAAAAGAAATTATAATTGCAGCATAAATTCTGATTTAAAAAACATAGAAAACCTTCAGTGTAATTAATAAAATAAATCTAAGAGCTGGTTTTCTGGTTGAGTTTTTGAAAAACTTAACAGAAAAAGAGAAAACAGAAAATCAGAAAAATAAGCAGCTCTAATCACAGATTTGGAGTATATTTTCAAACTATAAGAGAATAAATACTATAGGAAAAATATTTTTCACGTGAGAAAAGTTTCAGTGAAATGGATGTTTTACTGAGAACATTTAAAATTGATCTAAGAAGGAATAAAAACTGCAAACACATCAAAGTATATGGAAGAAATGTAAAAAAAGTTTGAGCGTTTATTCTAAAATTTATCACAAATCCAGACAAGTTTCTGGTGAGTTATTTTAAACTGTTAAGGAAGAGCTCATTTCTTTGGTGAAAAAATCATGGAAAAAACCCAATTTTATAAAACTGGCTGAATCCTGATCTTAAAACTTCTCACTGTAGCACAAACAGAAAAATTATAAATAAATATGCCACATGGATATGAATCCAAAATTTGAGGTCATGAAGGCAAGATTCAAAACTGGGATTTATGTAAATAATTCAAGGACAGTTTTGCATGAAGAGCTTTTTCTGATCAGTTTCACCATTAGGGCCAAAAACAACTTGATATCAGTCGATGCTGAAATACAATGGATAAAACTCAACACTCACACTTGCAATGTTGAAAGGCTATTACCATAAAATATACTAAAATTAATAGCTTTGCCTTCTATAAGAAAGAAAATAATGGAAGCCATCATGGCGGAAAAGATTACATTAAAATAGCAAGAAAGATCATGCAATACCTAGGGGTAATGCTACCAAGAAACGTACGGAGCTTTTATGATAAAAACTCGCAAATTTTATTGAGAGATATAAAAGAAAATTCAAATGATGGGGAGATGGATCCTTCTATATGACTTAATGATTTAAAGATGTTAATTTGCCCCAAGTTAACTTATGGCTTTCCTAAGTCTCATTCAAAATTCCCAATTTGAATTGGAATTTTTTTGTGGGAACTTGACAAGATGCATCTCTACAGTACATGGGCTATGGGGGGGACGAGAATAAAAGAATGATGACCAGATTTGTAAAATGGGTAAAGCTGCAATGATCAAACCAGTACACCTATGAGTGACAGACAGAGCAGTTAGTCCTCAAACTCAAGTCTACATAAGGGCTTAGTGTATAAACAAGGATCATCAGACAGGGGGGGATAGATGGAAACTTTCAACACTGTGGAAAAATCAAGCCAGAGCCTCTTCTTACTTCAAACACCAAAATAAATTCCAGATGGAGTCAACATTTAAATGCAAAAATATTCTGCAGCACTAGTAATCAAGCAAATGTAAATTAAAATAAAATGTCACTTTTTGTTCTGTTTATTGGCAAAGGTTTTTTTAAAAAACACTTGATTTTGGAAGAGTGTGGTGAAGAATGCAATTTGCAGACTCCTGGTAGGGACTTAAAAGGATTTGCTCTTCTTAAGAGTGGCACTTACTAAAAATCTCAAAAATATTCACACTCTCTGACCTACAAATTCCAAGTCTTGGCATCCCAGGAAAAGATAGATAGATAGATAGATAGATAGATAGATAGATAGATAGATATGGACACAAAGATTACATACAAGTATTTTGATTTCAGTCATGTTTAAAATAATGTAGGTCCAATAATTAAGATTTGTTAAATATCATATAGTTCCCATGATAAAATATTTTGCAGTCAATGAATAAAAAATTTAAAGGCTAATGACTTAGAGAGATACATATGACATAATGTTAAATAATAGGGATGAGACAAACTACATACATATGTATAAGAGTGTGTGTGTATATATATAAAACAAACTCAATTTTATTAAAAATATATAAAGCATAAAAAGAAATACAGGAAAATGTTAGCAGTGTCATTCCTATGTGTGATTATAGAGATTTTTATGATGTTTGTATTTTTATTTATGTAAAAAATTTTCTAAATTGAAAATTGTTTTTGTGAATAGAAAAATAATTTTTTTAAAAAATAGTCCCATCAAATAAAACAATGTAAAAAGGTTAAAGTTAAAAAATGAAGTAAAAAGACCAGGCAGAGTGGCTCACACCTGTAATCTCAGCACTTTGGGAGGCTGAGGTGGGAGTAACGTTTGAGCCCAGGAGTTCACAACCAGCCTGGGCAACATGGTAAGACTCCGTCTCTACAAAAATATAAAAACTAGCCAGGCGTGGTGGTGCGCACTTGTGGTCCCAGCTACCTGGGAGGCTGAGGTGGAAGGATGGCTGGAGCCCAGAAGGTCAAATCTGCAGTGAGCAGAGATGGCACCTGGGCGACAGAGTGAGACCTGTCTCAAGCAAACAAACAAAAACAAACAAACAAACAAAAGAAGTAGAAAAAGTGGAATGCTTCTTTAGAAATGGGGTAAGATTTTGAAGGTATATAGAAGTGGAAAACTCAAAAATGTAATTGATCACAAATGTGATGCTCAAAACTTAAAGGCCAATTATCTAAAAGTCAAAACCAAATAAAAAAACTATGAACAAGCTGAAAAAAAAAAACAATAAAATTGACATCTCACAATAAATAAGAAGAAACAGCTCACCTCTAAATATAAAAATGGGCCAAGTATATTAACAGATAATTTAATAGAAGAAAAAAGTCAAACTGTTTAGTAAACATAAGAAAAAAAAATCAAAGAAATGCATGTTTAAGCTACACAAAATTATTATATCTTTAAAAAATATTTAAAGACATGGCAAGTGTTCAAAACATAATATTGAGAATGAAAGTGAATGCACTTACGCTCAATTTTATGAAAAATAAAGGAAAGACAGGGATGGAAGGAAATACATCAGATATGCTAACAGTGGCTATTTCTAGGTAGGTAGATTAGAGAATATTTTGAATTTCTTTAATGGTGCTCTGTGGACTTTGCTCATAACAGATGTTACTTTGCTGAAGCAATTATGAAGAAAGAATTTATGCACATACAAAGGCATCTCTCATCACTGACTTTCACAGGAAGGACACCTCCTGAGTTGCGGACAAGCCTTTAGAAAAGACAGTCAACATCCTTATGAAAATCTGCACAAAAGGGGAACAAAGAAGGGTTGCCAAGTGTTCCCCATTGGTCTAAATCCACTGGGGCTTTCTGGAGCCCTAGCAGTTCAGTGGAGTTTCCCTGGGGGAGCCCGGGTATGCAGCCCCCACGCCAACATGGATCTCTGCCCTCACCCCCTCGCTGCCTCTGGCTTCTTCCTACTTTCTCATCTTGCCCCGGCCTCGTCTAACATCACCACCCTGAGGGTTCAACTACTTCATCCTTACAAGATAAATATCATTTAAAATCTTTTTAAAACTTTGGGTTCCTGAGCTTTTAAAGACAGTATCTGGGGCTGAAAACTCCACTGGGTTTTCCCTTGGCAAGAATCTAAGATATCCCCATATATGGATGTCCACCCTCTGTTTGGCCCTGGCTTCTCACTCTATTGTAGAAAGTTCTTTCTCACATGAATTGAGCTACTGTCAGTCCTAGCTCTGGCCTAAGGAAACCCACAGAACAAACATAATTATTTTCCTTTTTCATATTATAATATTTTTATTGTAGAATATACAGATAAGCAAAATGAAGAAAATGAAAACCACTTGTAATCTACCATCTAAATATAACTCATGGTAACACCTTCAGGGTCTAGTCTTTAATGTTGATTCTCATACAATCACACACACTCTAAACAACAAAATAAAGTAATGCTGGGTATACTTCTTTTCTAACTTTTTTTTTTCACTTGATATACAGGCATCTTCTATGCAACTTCAACTATCTCTTAGTGAAAATGTCAAGTTCTGCACAAATTTATTTATTTATTTATTTATTTTTTGAGACAGAGTCTTGCTCTGTCGCCCAGGCTGGAGTGCAATGGCACGATCTTGGCTCACTGCAACCTCTGCCTCCCAGGTTCAAGCAATTCTCCTCCCTCAGCCTCCTGAGTAGCTGAGATTACAGGCCTGTGCCAACATGCCTGGCTAATTTTTGTATTTTTGGTAGAGATGGGGTTTCACCATGTTGGCCAGGCTGGTTGCGAACTCCTGACCTCAGGTGATCCACCTGCCTCGGCCTCCCAAAGTGCTGGGATTACAGGCATGAGCCACCGTGCCCGGCCCTGCACAAATGTTAATTGGCAATCTAGTTCTTATCTTAAATGGGAAGAGTTATAATAGTTACAGATCAACTCTAAATGATGTCATTGGGTCGTTGTGAAGATTAATAATAACTGTAAAGGGCTATGCACAGAACCTGGAACTGGAGAAAGCTTCAAATGAAGAATAAGGCCAAATGTCTACTCTAATTATCTGTTGAAGAAAGTTATGAGTTCCTTGAGACCCAGTTGGTTCTCTCTATTATGAAGGGTCTGTGTATGGGTAGGGGGTTATGTGGTCCCTTGTGACACACTCTCATTCTTTGTCCCTGGGCTGTGTCTCAGATGTTCACAGGTAAAGGTTTCATCTTATCCTGCACAGATGGTTTTGAGCAAAGGGCCACAACTCTAGGGCACAAGGTAGGTTAGTCTAGTAGACATGACAATGAAAATCTACCTAACGTTGGCCAGGCGCGGTGGCTCATGCCTGTAATCCCAGCACTTTGGGAGGCCGAGGCAGGCGGATGACGAGGTCAGGAGATCCAGACCATCCTGGCTAACATAGTGAAACCCCGTCTCTACTAAAAATACAAAAAATTAGCCGGGCGTGGCAGTGGGTGCCTGTAGTCCCAGCTACTCGGGAGGCTGAGGCAGGAGAATGGTGTGAACCCGGGAGGCGGAGCTTGCAGTGAGCTGAGATTGCGCCACTGTACTCCAGCCTGGGCAACAGAGTGAGACTCTGTCTCAAAAATAAATAAATAAATAAATAAAAAATATAAATATAAATATAAAGAATATCTACTTAGTGTCTTGGTATTATTCTCTATTCTCGACACTTACTGAATAAGGAGTGCTACTGCTGAGGGATGAGTACGGAGAGGTGAAAATTGCTATGCTGGTTTACTTCTGCGGTTTTGTGGGTTTAGAAATTAAGAATTTCTAAAGTAGGAGGAAAGTAGGAAAGTCAAGAAGAGCAGGAACCAGAACCTAGTTGGCAGGCAGGAAAGCGGGGTTCCCATGGACTTTTATAACACAGGCCAATAAACAATGCTGGCAGGAACCTGGCCTCCTGGTGCAACGCGCGGATTGTGTAAGCTGTGTGGGTGGTGGGGCTGGGAGAAGCAGCAGCTGCCGTGTGCGTGCACGGTATGCTCTTTGCTGCCAGGATTGAGTCATTGCTCAAACCCATCCTAGGCTAGCCAGGGGTTAAAAAGGCACAGAGCACGGCACATGCCCATCTAAGCCACTGCCACTGGTTGGGATCCTGGGAACTGTAAAGAAGGGAGAGTCTTTAGGAGGGCAGAGGGTTCAGCGGGTACCTAGCCAGGTGGTCACTTATGGTCAGTTAGAGTATCAGAGGCCATGCTACCCTCCTAGGAACACATAGGGTCAATGCTTTGGGTAGAATCTAACTTGATTTTTATTTTATTTTTGAGACAGAGTCTCACTCTGTCACCCAGGCTGGAGTCCAGTGGTGCCATCTTGGCTCACTGCAACCTCCGCCTCCCGGGTTCAAGCGATTCTCCTGCCTCAGCCTCTTCAGTAGCTAGGATTACAGGCGCGCACCACCACACCCGGCTAATTTTTGGTTTTTTAGTAGAGACAAGGTTTCACCATGTTGGTCAGGCTGGTCTCAAACTCCTGACCTCGTGATCCTCCTGCCTTGGCCTTCCAAAGTGCTGGGATTACAGGCGTGAGCCACCGCACCCGGCCTCTAACTTGATTTTTAAGGTGAAGATTCCAAGCCCAAGCTGGGACTTCAAAACAAAGAGTACTCTTTGTTATTCTGGTTGAGCCCCCATGTTGAATGCATTGCATCTACCCTGCTTCAGAGGCTTGGTTTAAAGAGAGATGATCTCCCACCCTGTGATGCGTAAGGCCTCAAGCTGCCATCTAGTGAGTGCCTTGTCAGCCCTGCTGTCAGTGTTCCAGCCAAATTTGCAGAGAAGCCTTGCTCAGTTGTGATTTCCAACATCTCAGAACCCATCGGAACAACACTGAGGCGGAAGGATTCCAAGGGCTTGCTGGGCTCCAGGCACTCGGATAAACATTTCTGTGAATGACAGACAGTGTGGTGGTGAGACACAGGATTTAGTGTCCGACTGTGTGGGTTCAAATCCCGACTCTACTGTTCACCAGTTGTGTGAGGCTGGACATGTTCCCTAACCTCAGCATGTCTGTTTCCTTTTCTGTGCAGTGTATGTGTGTGTGCATGTGTCTATGTGCAGGTGCTTGTAATAAAAGTGACGACTTTATAGAGTTGTTGTCAGGCTTAAATGAGATAACACATGGAGAATGCTTAGAACAGTGACTGCAGTGCAGCCAACACTCAATGTTTTAGTACCTCATTCCAGCAACAGTATGAGGGAATACCAGGGCCACGACTCTATCCCAGGTGGGTGAGGCTGAGACACGGGCCATCACACCTTGACCTAAGGGCAAACATCTTGTAAGTGCTTGAATCAAAACTTACATCCCAACAGTCTGGCACTGTGTGAACTTTAAGCTACAATGCTCTATGGCTTAACTAAATCGAATTGATTCATGTGTTGTCACTCTCTTCATGGTGATTGATGTTTCAAGTCAGTGTTTCTTACTACAATCTAAGACCTTTGTTACTTACTTTGCCCTTCGTGGATTAAGCAAAGTAGTCTGTTTAGGGTTACTTATTCCGTATTTTATTCTCTCGGAGAGTTTAATAAAGTTTGGCCTCAGTGTTTCCTACGTGAAATAGATGGGTTTAATTCTTTGTGGCTAGTCTTGGATCCAGTCACCCTCCCCACTTCCAGCCGCCTCACCTGCTTTCCTATTGCTTACTTTCAGAGGAAGAGAAGTAACTGCTAGTAGCAAATCTGCTCACTTTGTACCTAGGGTACAAGATTCCCACGAAAACATAACAGGGAGATATTCTGCAGCAAGGCAGAGTGAATTTGGCTTGCTGCCTGATTTTCGTCTGGTGCAATAGGATTTACTTTAGGCCTGGAGATAAGGGCTAGTCCTTCTTTATTTTATTGTGATCTTGTTCTTCCTTCTAGGGTGTTTCCCTCCAATCACCAGGCTCTGGGTTGTGTTTCTGTCCACCTGGGCTCTCATGTCAGATTCCAGCTCACCACATAGGTGTGCAGAAGGTGAGTGCCTAGGTAGTTACTTCATTATGTTGCTCCAAAGCCTCGGACACACATGCCTTCTGCACTCTGGTACTTAGTTTTTTGTTTTTTCAAACTTGCTGAGAACATTTATTGCTGCCAATTGAGATTAATGAAACATAGAGTGTCTTTGATAAAGATGAACTGAGGGGAATACCATCTCTTTCTTTTGGTGGCAGGCCTTTGTTATCTAGCTGTCACAGTACTGGGTGGGCTCATCCTGAGTGGATGCCCTTGCCTCTTCTTCTGGGACTTCTTAGTGGTAGCACCTGCTCCCTAATAACTAGCTTTGCTGAACAGTTTGAAGACGCCTCATTTTTGGTTTTTGCTTTTGAGGAGTTCTCAGTTTTTTAGTTTTTAGGAAACTGTCCTCTAATTGGTATAGAAAGTCTTCATTTCGTCCAACCTTTTGGATTGTATTCCACACAAGTTCTTTATTGTTTCTTCTTCCTTCAAGGGTGTCCGTAGCATCTGCCATTAGTGACTGTAGCAATTCTGCCTCCTGTTGACTGATGTCCCATAGACATGTTTGGCTGCATTCACTGAGATGCCAGCTACTCCAACTACCTTTGGCTTGTTGTACAGTTCAAGGTCTCATTAAATTACCTGTTCAGTATAGAGCATCCTGGTCAACAATCAGTGAGGCAAAGCCCTTGGGAAGTCTAGGACAATGATGGGTGAGCAAGTTGATGGGAAATAGTGCTGGCCTCAAAGTCCATGACCTGGATTCCAGGTCAGTGCCAGTCAATCTACCAGATATGTTCGTGGTCCAGGTCCCCTTACTGTTTTGGGCTTTGGCTGAACAAGATGATCTTTAGTAGGGTTGTTTCCAGTTGCAAAATGACATGATTCTAGGATTTGGGAAGAGCTGTGCTTCCTAGTTTATTCTGGAAGCATGGGTGTTGCTTTTGAGCCAGAACCGGTTTATAATCCAGGTCAGTTTCATTCTGATTTTATGGCTCTGGGATTTTGGTCCCTTGACTTTCAAGTGGGGATAATAATGCTCACTTTGCAGAGTTATAAAGGAATAGTGCTCAGGTACAGAGAAAATTTTGCATAGCCTCAGCACATGGTAGCCACCCAACACCTGTGAGGCCTCCTGGCAACTCATGTGTATCTATAAATGCCCAGCAGCACTGAGGCAGGGCAGCCCACTGGTGATAGGGACAAAGGCACTTTAGAAAGAAAGTGAAAAGATCATTCTCGGCACCCTCTCATGGGGCTCCTTAATCAGAGTTGGCCACTTTCTCCCAAAGAAATGGATGGTTGTTGTTGGGTAATTAGTGCCCTGGGCAGAGCCAAGACCAGGGCACAGTGAGAGCCTTTGTCTTAGGCTTGTAAATTTCAACACAGGTTGGAAGGAACAAAACCCCAATTCATTTGACAGACACTCCAAATCTGATTCTGTGGACTGAGCCAAGGGAGAGACTGCCTGGCAGCCCCAGGAGTGGTTGGCCAACTGGGCGGCTCCAGAAGGGCCGAAAGATGCTGGGAGACACGGAGGGCAGCCTTGTGACTATAGGAGGCAGAAACTGGCCATTGTCCGTGCAGTGGGGGTGTGAGCAGCCTTTCGCCCTGGCAGTGTGGTCTGCCCAGGAAATGCTCAGGAAGTCTATTCTAGAATAGACCCAAGGGCAGCACTGTTGTGGTGCCCGCCAACTCTTGGCTGCCTCTTATCTTCCAGTTTGAGTGCTTTGAGAACCACTGAATGAAATCTTGCAAGTACTGCAGATTTATTTATCATGTTGGTCATGGGAGGTGCAAAGTATTGATGGACATGTAGATATTTGCCAGGCAGAGGGGTTGGGCCACAAAAGAGAGTTCTAGTAAAGAAAGCAGCATGTGAAAAATTTAGGGGTTTAGACAAGGTGGCACATAGGGGGATGGCGTTTCAGTATGACCAAATTATAGATTGCAAAAGGCGGCGTGAGGAGAGAAGAAATGGTCCTCAGTGGATGTTCTATGCAGCATAGATGTAATAGATACAAAGACTTAGGATCCTTCTTTTATCATTTTAAATTTTATTTTATTTTGATACATCATATTTGTACCAATTTTTATGGGGGGCATGTGATATTTTATTACATACACAGAATGAGCAATGATCAAGTCAGGGTATTTGGGGTGTCCATCACTTTGAGTATTTATTATTTCTGTGTGTTGGGAACATTTCAAGTCCTCTCTTCCAGCTATTTAAAGATATACAATAGACTGGGCGCGGTGGCTCATGCCTGTAATCCCAGCACTTTGGGAGGCTGAGGCGGGTGGATCACCCGAGGTCAGGAGTTCGAGACAAGCCTCAACATGGAGAAACCCCATCTCTACTAAAAATACAAAATCAGCCGGGCGTGGTGGCGCATGCCTGTAATCCCAGCTACTCGGGAGGCTGAGGCAGGAGAATTGCTTGAACCTGGGAGGCAGAGGTTGTGGTGAGCCCAGATCGTGCCATTGCACTCTAGCCTGGGCAACAAGAGCGAAACTCCGTCTCAAAAAAAAAAAAAAAGATAAACTAAAAATAAAAATATACAATACGTTGTTGTAGTGTAGAGATTCCTTAAAGAACTAAAAGTAGAACTACCATTTGATCCAGCAATCCCACTACTGGGTATCTACCCAGAGGAAAAGAAGTCATTATTCAAAAAAGATACTTGCACATACATGTTTATAGCAGCACAATTCACGATTGCAAAATTGTAGAACCAACCCAAATGCCCATCAATTAATGAATGGATAAAGAAACTGTGGTATATATATATGATGGAGTACTACTCAGCTATAAAAATGAATGAATTAACAGCATTTGCTGTGACGTGGGTGAGATTGGAGACTATTATTCTAAGTGAAGTAACTCAGGAATGGAAAACCAAACATCGTATGTTCTTACTGATATGTGGGAGCTAAGCTATGAGGATGCAAAGGCATAAGAATGACACAATGAACTTTGGGGACTTGGGGGGAAGAGTGGGAGGGGGGCGAGGGATCAAAGACTACAAATTATGTGCAGTATATACTGCTCGGGTGATGGGTGCACCAAAATCTCACAAATCACCACTAAAGAACTTACTCATGTCACCAAACACCACATGTTCCCCAAAAACTTATGGAAAAATAAAACAAAATAATAAAAAATAAAAAATATACAATGCATTGTTGTAAATGATAGTCACCCTACTCCGCTACTGAACACTGTCTAACTGTATGTTTGTACGCATTAACCAGCCTCTCTTCATCCTCACCCCAGTGCACCCTTCCCAGCCTCTGGTAACTACCATTCTACTCTCTATCTCCATGCAATCCACCTATTTTAGTTCTCACATATCAGTGAGAATATCTGATATTTGTCTTTTGTGCGTGGCTTCTTTCATGTAACACGATGACCTCCAGTTCCATCCATATTGTCGCAAATGACATAATTTCCTTCTTTTTTAGGGCCAAATAGTATTTCATTGTGTATATACATGAATTTCTTAGGACTCTTTTTCTGGCAAGGAAAGAATGTGGCAATATCCAAGGGAGTTTGATCTGGTGACTTTTCTTCAGCCTCTGATACATTTAAATGATAGAGAAAGAGAAATGTGTGACTTTTGTCACCTTGTCCTGGGTGGCCTCCAACCTAATCCACTCCGCCTTCCTCCTCACACCCCAATACATCCTCCAGATGGAGATTTTCATTGTGGACAAGTGGGTGTTCAAAATTCACATGTGCCACTTATATTGTTATGCATACAATGTTATATATATTGTTTGTTGGAGGGAAGTCATGTGAAGTAAACTAGCATTTATTGGTGCTTTTTATGTGTTAAACACCATAGTAGATACTTCAGACACTTTAATGAAGAGAAAAAGCAGGTCAACCCCAAACCAACTGTTAGTGCTTCTGCTTTCCAAGGGAGATATGAAACAATTCCTATCAGTTGGACACTGTATGGACACTTAGAGATTGCTGGAGCAAGGAGAGGATGTCTGACATTCTGATAGTTCTGGGTTGCTAAAGGATAAGCCAGAGTAAGGGGTCTTTCGTTCATCAAAAACCTCAAGTCTATGGCCATGGAAAGGTAGGCATCAGGGTGGAAAGCTAGTTGGTCCTGTATTATACGGGGTTGAAAATTGAACTTCTGGGCGAGGGGCGGCAGGGGTGGTCTTGAGGACCAAGGGGATCCAGAAAACAGAGAAGCAGGAAGAAGTGAGAATCCCGAGAAGGAGTGAGTGCATTTGGAAGGGTGGGCTGGCATAGCAGAAGGCTGGAACCTGCAGGGAATGTGGCCCCTGGGAAATTGCTGGTGTTGGCTCAGCCATGAGCCTGCTGAAAAGACAGAAGCTGGATGCCCCGTTTTAAATTGTTTGGGTTTAAATTGTGTAGGCCATGACATTTCCTCCCCATGGCCACAAACCCTCAGCAAAACCTGCTTCACACCAAATGCCCCCTGTGACTGTGTTTTAAGGAGAGCTGGCTGAGTTACACAGTCTGTGCTGGGATAGAGCAGTGAGACCAGCTGATGAAGCTGGGAGATGAGTGAAATCAAAGTTTGGGAAGAGCTGCCATTTGGAGCCAAAGTGACCACCAGGATGTACACTCTGGGGATGTCAGGGTGGATGTGAGACTTTGCCAGGACATAGGGTTGTACTTGAATCAATTTTATTCAAATTTCAGAGGGCAGGGTGACCTCAGTTGATGTCCACTTGGGTTTCAATTATGCTGTTTCAATAAACACGATCTCCATTTTACAGATGAAAGAGACAAAGCATAGAGATGCTCACAGATTGGCCTGTCACGCAGCCCCTAGATGGTGGTTCTGGGCCAGGGTACTCCAATGTTCATGTCAGCAAGGTGGAGGAACTTAGAGAACCACAAATCCACACTATCAAAGGATTTGATATGCTTGAGGTCTGCAAATTCCTCCGTAACAGCCAAATGGTAAAGATTTTAGGCTTTGCAGACCATTCCGTCTTCGTCATAACTACTCAGTTCTGCTGCTGTAACCGGAAAGCAGCCATAGACAGTGTGAATGAATGAGTGTGTCTGTGTTCCAATAAAACTTCATTTGTGGACACCGAAATGTGAATTGTGTATAATTTTCAAGTGTTAGAAAATATTATTCTTAAAAATTTTTCATCCTGTAAAAAATGTAAAAATCACCCCTAGCTCAGAGGCTATTCAAAACCAGGCAGTGGGCTGGATTGGGTCCTGAGGCCATGATGTGCTACACACTGCCCTGCACTGCACAATTCAGTTATTTATCAGATGTTTTAGTGAATAAGTGGGTCAATGAGAGAGCTGTCAAGAGTGCAGATGAGGCCAGGCACAGTGACTCACGCCTGTAATCCCAGTACTTTGGGAGGCTGAGGTGGGTAGATCACTTGAGGTCAGGAGTTTGAGACCAGCCTGGCCAACATGGTGAAACCCTGTCTCTACTAAAAATACAAAAATGAGCCTGGCGTGGTGGCAGGTGCCTGTAGTCCCAGCTACTTGGGAGGCTGAAGCAGGAGAATTGCTTGAACCCAGGAGACAGAGGTTGCAGTGAGCCAAGATTGAGCCACTGCACTCCAGCCTGGATGATGGGGCAAGATTCTGTCTCCAAAAAAAAAAAAAAGAAAGAAAAGACCAGGCGCAGTGGCTCATGCCTGTAATCTCAGCACTTTGGGAGGCCAAGGCGGGCGGATCACGAGGTCAGGAGATCGAGACCATCCTGGCTAACACAGTGAAACCCCATCTCTACTAAAAATACAAAAAAAAAAAAATAATAATTAGCCGGGCGTGGTGGCGGGCGCCTGTAGTCCCAGCTACTGGGAGGTTGAGGCAGGAGAGTGGCATGAACCCGGGAGGTGGAGCTTGCAGT
Organism: Homo sapiens; assembly: GCF_000001405.40. Classification (NCBI taxonomy): domain Eukaryota; kingdom Metazoa; phylum Chordata; class Mammalia; order Primates; family Hominidae; genus Homo; species Homo sapiens. The sequence goes on from NC_000015.10 coordinate 93,306,964, forward strand.
GAGCCGAGATCATGCCACTGCACTCCAGACTGGGTGACAGAGTGAGACTCCGTCTCAAAAAAAAAAAAAAAAAAAATCAAGTTTTTAGGGCTAGTTTATTTTTTCTCTTACTCTCTTTTCTTGCCCCTTGCTCTCTTCTCACTCGAATCCTATTAACGTCCTCTCTTTTGACTCTGCGTCCTCAAACATACTGTATTTCAAGACTGGTGGGATTATCGTATCCAAAAGCATCTCAGGGAAAAACAGCTGGAATATCTAGGATAAGAAGGCAAACTGGCAAGAGGTGAAGGGGAGTGTAATTGCCCTTCTTTTTGTTGACCTGCAAAGCCGCATGCTTTAACCATCTCATGATAGCAGGATTTTTCTGTGTGTACGTGGTTTTTTCTTTTCTTTCTTTCTTTTTTTTTTTCTTGAGAGTCAAATGTAATACTCTCGTATTTTCCTTTTTTTGTTTTTCAGGGAAATATAAGAGGAATTCATTTTCTTTGGGATTAACAAAATCTTTCTTCTTTTATGTTGGCAACATGAGGTTTTAGCAGATCTCTGATCTTGTACTGAATAAAAAATATGGTATCACAATGGTGCACGGAGGCTGGGAGCTTGAACTCAATTTGGATTATGGAGTACAGCAGTGGGCCTGCTGCAGCTAATAGAGGCGGGTCTTTGGAGGTGATGCGGAGGGACGGCCCCAGGGGACCCAGCCCTACCCGCCCTGCCTGTTGTTCCACCCTAATCTGAGGCCAGTTACCAGGAGGCTGAGCCTCACTCAGATGCTCAGAGGCGGCAGGCCAGCATCAAGCTGTCAGCCAGGTGGAGGCGAGGTGCTGCCGTGCAAAAGCCGGACGGACAGCGAGTGGGGAAGTGTAGGAGAGTCGGGATGTTGGTTGAGCCATTTAACCTCCCCGAGTCTCAGTTCCTCCATCTCTAAACTTGGGTTAATCCCATCCGTGTCTCAAGGCCTCAGCAGTCTAGGGGTGCAGAAGGGATCCCCGTGACACGTTTGGGAGTTTTGTTAGCTTCTCACTGGGTAACTGCACGATCTCAGCACTTTTCTCTCTCCTGGTTCTCACCAATCTCTCATTTTTCTTGTTATTTCTTCCCCTTTTCCGGTGGTGACTTAAATGTATACTGACACAGTCCACTGTATTTTCGCATTCCCACCGCGGTGTTGTCTGGCCCAGCAGCAGCGCGGCTGACTCCCGGAGTCCCACCGCCACTCAGGAAAACAGTTCTTTGGGCTCCAACATTGCACACCCAATGGGGACTCCAGCCTGGCTGTCGGGGACAGAGTGGGGCCATGCTCCCCATTTCCTTGTGTTTCTTACCATTCCCCAAGTGGTGTGCCAATCTTTTCCCCTTTTCTATCAAACAAATCCTCAGCACCTATTTCCTGGTGCACAAATGCTTGAGATGCTGCTGGTCCTGTATCCCCTATCTTAGCCCCAGGCAGCCTGCCGTGGATGTGTTATGCATCTGCTACGTATCTGTGTACACAGGGCTCTTGAGAGGGTTTGTGTGAATGGCATGGAATCAAATTTGATCATGGGAGCAGCCCACAATTGTTGCGTGCTTTCGCTGTATGCCAGGGGCTGCTGGGTGATGAGCCCGTTGTGTGCTTTTTCTCACAGAATCCGCTAAACAACCTATTTTCAGAAAGCGAGCCCTGGAGAAGAGAAATGAGCAAAAAACTTAGTGGCCCCAGCAGGATTCAAACCCAGGCATTCTGTTTCTAGGACCTGCCTTCTGAAGCACCACTGTGTGTTTGTAAATGACTTTCCCCAAGACTGGCACATGGTCACTGTCTGGTACCTGTCAACCCTAGCTGTAAATTGATGCTGTCTCCTCAATCTCCTCCTGGTAAAGGCAGGACAGACACAGACAGAGACAGGAGAGAAGACGAACAAAAGCCCAAAAGGGCTGGCCCAGGCAGTGAATATTGCTGGTTCTGAGGAGAAGCGCTGCTGGTGGGCTGGGATTTCATGTGGAGACTTGAGGGTACAGGGAGTAGAGGTAAAGAAAAGGGAAGTCAAGGCAGGGGATATAGGAGCCATCAGCTCTTTGAAAGCCAATATTTCTCAGATGTTGGGAGCTTCTTGTGTCAGAATTATTTAGGGTAATAGTTTAAAATTATCTGAGATGCCAGTTGAAACATACCCCTTTTACAAATTGTAATGCAACACACAGAATATAATTCCTACCTCATGGGGATGTTGTGGATACCAAAGGGCACCGACGTCAGCTTCTTCCCTAGTGTCCTGTTTAAGGTGCTTCTGTTTTCATTTCTAGTTATACTTTATTTTTATTTTATTTTATTTTTTTGAGACAGAGTCTCGCTCTCTTGCCAGGCTGGAGTGCAATGGCATGATCTCAGCTCACTGCAACTTCTACCTCCCAGGTTCAAGCGATTCCCTGGCCTCAGCCTCCCGAATAGCTGGAATTACAGGCGCCCGCCACTACGCCCAGATACTTTTTGTATTTTTAGTACAGACAGGGTTTCACTATGTTGGCCAGGATGGTCTTGAACTCCTGACCTCAAGTGATCTGCCTGCGTTGGCCTCCCAAAGTGCTGGGATTACAGGTGTGAGCCACTGCGCCTGGCCTATACTTTATTTTTTAAACTCTTCAAGAAATCTTAGGCCCGCACGGTGGCTCATGCCTGTAATCTCAGCTCCTTGGGAGGCTGAGGTGGGCAAACTGCCTGAGTCCAGTAGTTTGAGACCAGCCTGGGCAGCATGGTGAGACTCCATCTCTACCAAAAATACAAAAATTAAGCTTGGCATGGTGGTGCCACCCTGTAGTCCCAGGTACTCAGGAGGCTGAGGTGAGAGGATCACTTGGGCCTGGAGAGGTCAGGGCTACAGTGAGCCATGGTTGCGCCACTGCACTCCAGCCTGGATGACAAAGTGAGGCCCTGTCTCAAAACAAAACAAAAAACAAAAGAAATCTTAGAACATTGCTTTGCTCACCTGCTCTGGGACCTTAATGACAACCTACACAATATCAAATCCCTTGACTGGCAACCAGGAACCTCCAGACTTTGGCCCAAATGACCCTGCCAGGTCTATTTCTTATTTTCTTCTGTAAAGTCACTCCATTGGGCAAAGCGAAATTCTACTTGTTGCCTTCACAATAATTTCGAATGTTTCCTTTTTCATTTCTCTCTGTCTCTGTTCCCTCACCTATGGAACGGGTTTTTTTTTTTATTTGAGACAGAGTCTCACTCTGTCGCCCAGGCCATCTTGGCTCACTGCCACCTCTGCCTCCCAGGGTGAAGCGATTCTCCTGCATCAGCCTCCCGAGTAGATGGGATTACAGGCACCTGTCACTCCGCCTGGCTAATTTTTGTATTTTTAGTAGAGATGGGGTTTTACCATGTTGGCCAGGCTGGTCTCAAACTCCTGACCCCAAGTGATCTGCCTGCCTTGGCCTCCCAAAATGCTAGGATTATAGGTGTGAGCCACCGCACCCAGCCTGGAACGGGATTTTAATGATAACTAATGCGATAATCCATGAAAGTGCTTAGAGCAGCGTCTGAAACACAGCATATGGTAAAGGTGGTTCCTGATTCCCAATGTCACTGCAACTTTTTTTTTTTTTTTTTCTGGAGCTATGCCTGACTTGTGTCTTTATCAGTCAATAGACCCAAGAATACTTTCTCTAAATGGATGCAGGTAGACAAAGGCTGTGCAGCTGTATTTTATTTTGTAATCCCAGGGAATAATTTGACAATTCTATTCATTTCATCAATATTTACTTTGTCTTCAATGCCCAGTGCACTGTGTGAATGACGGTTTTGGCTGGAGTTAAACGTGAACATACAAATGTCTCCTCGACAAGCCTAAGAGGTCTTATTCACCCATCAAGGCTGCCCCGGCTTACTTCTTCCTCCGTAGCACCATGGACGTGTCCTCCTGGCTTGCACAGCTCACAGTTAGTTCTACCTGGCCAAGAATGTAATCGCTCACTACTGTTGCGTGGTATTTTCCTTTTCTAAGCTATACTTCCAGCTTTCAAGAGGCCAAATATCTTCTGTATTCTAAACAGTCCTGCTATCCATCTTTCCTTTTGTCCAGGATGGCCTTTATCCTCGACGGCAACTATCTGGTAGGCTCCAATGGGGACATAGGGAAGCCTTAGGTGAAATTATTTCTAAGGTTCTGCATGAACTGTCCATTATTATGGAATTAATTCTTTTGTTTCAGGGGTCTGGATAAGTTTCTGATGTTGTTGTCTAGGATCTAGGCGTAGATTCAACAGATACCTCCAGGTACTCTTTTTTGTTATTTTAGGAGAAATGAATTCTGTGTGTAATGCAAACAAATAGAAGAATTGTAAGTTAAAGATTTTGTTTATTTGGTTGCTGTATATCAGTCTCCTAATACCTCATGCTTATAATTTTAATTTGTATTTCTTTCGGAAATATTGTAACAATATTAAAATGGAAATAAAGGTCAAAAACATCCAATCCCACTACTCTAAACAAAGTGATAGCTTTCAATTTTCTGTGATTCATTTCAGTTCCTTTTAATATGCACATATACGATTTTTGCACCGTCGTAAGACAGCTGATAATAATTCTAATAAAAAGTAAAGCCATTATTTATGAGAAAAGTTTTACAGGTCTTTTTATATAAAACAGGCATTTATTCCAAATGTTTGTAAGATGCTGGTGTCAGTTTGACCTACCAGACTCCAGTGAAGAGATGGAGAGCTTCAGGCCTGCAGGAGGCATGCGGCCAGCAAGCACCGCACTGCAGGACCATCCTTGCCCTGGTCATCCAAACACAAACAATCATTGTGCGGTGGATGGGGTTTCAGGCTGCGTTGCCAAGCGTTGGGAAATGAAGGCACACAGAGGCCGACGGAGCGTCTTGGGGCCACCCTGAGCTCCTGGCAGCAGAGCAAGGCTGGAGCTCGGCACCCAGGCAATTGTGAGCTGGTGATTGGTCACTCTGCCTGGTGCCCCCTTATGACTTTAGTGTTAGGCACTTATTAGGTGAATTAGAGCACTTATCGGTGACGGTTGGTTGGTTGGTTGGATGGACAGAATTGCTTCTACCAGGCGGCTGTATTCCCTCCTGCCTGATAGGCACTAAAATAAGACATTCTAGTGGCTTTCATTTCAGGTCGAAAATGGACAGCTGAGTGTGTGTGATGAGTGTGTGTGAGAGTGTATAAGTATGTGTGTGAGTGTGTGTGAACGGATGTGGCTGCACATGTGTGTGTGATTGTGCGGGAGTGTGTGTGTCTGAGTGTGGGTGTGAGCATGCATGCATGAGTGTATGAAAACACGTGTGAGTGTGTGCAGATGTGGAGGGAGCGGAATGGGTGCTGGAGACATGGGCAAGGACACTATCGCTTTTGCAGTGCCTGCTACATTTTCTCACTTCACACTCCCAACAATGCCATGTGGTAGATGTTATAATCTGTGTTTATAGATGAGAAAATTAGATTCTGAGAAATTAAGTACCCTGCCAAGTCATTCTGGTGAATGGTAGAGCTGAGTGTTGACTCTTGGTCAGCAAAGCTGATGACCTTCTTACCAACAATGCTGAACCGCAAGATTGCCAGGGCCCTGACATTGTTTCAGGGTAAAGAAGCCAGGAGACAACATCAGAGGCAGGAGCTGTGCTGTATTCATCCTGAAAAGTTCTGGAGGAGGAAGCCACCTACTGGTCTCTGAGTGGGTGGTGGGGGGCAGATGGAAGTGGAGGGGCAAGGCTAAAACCTTAAGGAACTGCCTGTCAGTGAGCACTCCTGGGAGAATCAGAACACTGGGAGGAAAGAGGTCAAGGAGACAGCCTTCCTGCCACATAGATAGAACATTCTGGTGGATGGAAATTTCCACGAGTGCTTCAGCCTTTCTGCCTGGCTTACACAGAAATGGATCTTAGAGCTACTGGCCAGAAGATCACCTTTACCGAAAGCATCTTGCAGTCATCCTCCTTTCCAAGCCGCCTTCCAGTAAGACTCACAATGGAAGGTCCCCAACCTGGAGCAAGGATACAAGCCAAGTAAGTGAAAAAAAGGCACTGTTTCTGAAGCATAAAGAAAACCTTTCACCCCTTTACTTTTAAAATCCCGGTATCCATGACAACTGGACGGAGGGTAGAAAGTGGCTGTCCCCTCCCCTCTTCATTGTTTAACTTTCAGTTGCTGCAGCAACTGAGTATACTGGGCCCAGCCAGATTCTCTGGGTGCTTTCTTCTTTCTTAGTTCCCCCTTTATTGTGGGCCCTCCTCAGTGCCAACATTGCTTTGTCTCTCGCTGGAGAAGCCTGTGAGAACGAGGATGGGCAAAGTGTCAGGCTCTTGGTGCAGCTGAAAATCCTTTGAGATGGAAGAAATGGCTGGAACAAAGGGGCAGAGGAACAAAAAGCCCTGAACTGCTTCGCCCCTGCCTCGTGGGGTCTTTATCATCTTAAACCTTGGGATTTGTGAGTGTCTAACTTTTCCTTTCCCAGGGATGGCTTGGCAGGGATACAGACAGAGTGGGCCTAGGAAACTGGTTGGGCAACAGTCTCAGCAGAGACTGCTTCCCAGGGAGACAGAGCCTGGTTAACTTAGGTCATCCTCTTTTTCTTCATTCCTTTTTTGATTCTTCTTTTTTCCCTCCCTCCCTCCCTCCCTCCCTCCCTCCCTTCCTTCCTTCCTTCCTTCCTTCCTTCCTTCCTCTCTCCCTCCCTCCCTCCTTTCCTTCCTTCTCTCCCTCCCGCTTCCCTTCTCTCCCTCTTCCCTCCCCTCCCTTTTCCCTTTCTCTTTTCCTTTTTCCTTACCTTCTTTTTCCTCCTCCTGCTTCCTCTCTCTCACCTTCTTTTTCTTTCTCCTTCCCTTTCTTCTATCCCTCTCTCTCGTATCTGTTTATGGTTAATATTTTCCCATTTGAGAAAATTCTAAACAATTAGGTGGACCTTCAAAACCTTTGTGTATTCAATGTATTTCAATAATTTGCCTTGAAGAAACCAGATATGTGCACAAAGTTATCTTTTTGGTAATGTATCACAGTATTGATACATTTATAAAATAATGGGAAAAGTCTACATGGAGAGAAATAAGATCAGTCAAATTCACTGTGTCTTATTTTATTCTGGCAAAAGAATCATTTTTCATTCACTCATTCTACAGCTGCATGTTGGCCCTGTGCTGATGGCCAGAGAGCAACAGTGAGCAAAACAGACATGGCCTCTCCTTAATGAAACTTAGAGATACAGTCAGATAACTCAGAAATAAATGCAATTCACAAATCATGGTCAGTGCCATGATGAGGAATGATGGGATATGAAGAGAGGGCGTATCAGTGGCATTTAACTTCATCCAGGGACGAGGGAAGATTTCTCTAAAAACCAATGACTTTTGAATTGTGACCTGCAGGATGTGCTGGAGAAACGTGGTGAATGGGTGGAGTGAGGCAGAGCAGGCCAGGCAGAGGGGCTGCCACACTCACTGCAAGGGCCCAGTTGTCGGGGGAGCATGGCTTGTTCAGGGGACAGAAGGAGGCTGGCCAGCTGGCCTACAGAGTGGGGTCTGGGAGCCGGTGAAGGTCTGGAGGGGAGACAGGGTACCCTCTGGGCATGTCTTTATGGTAAGAGTAATGGGCAGCTTCAGTGTGGCCAGGGAAGGGGTAAGGGGTCAAGGGTGGTGAAGGTTGTGGGACAAAGTCAGATTTGCAGAGAAATCACTGTGGCTGCAGTGGGGAGGAAAGTTTGCAAGGGGCATAATGGGTTTGGGGACCGGCCAGAATGCCACTGCAGTAGTTCAGGAGAGACAAGGGGCATTTGGATCCTGTGGTGGAGGTGGAGATGGTGAGAAGGTGGATGGGAGAGGAGGAATTCAGGAGGTAAAACCAATGGAATGTGGTGGTGATGGATTGGATATTGTTGGGGGGGCGGGTATAAGAGGGAGGGAAAGATCAAGGATGGTGTATTATTTTTCTAGGGAGCAAAATACCACAATCTGGGTGGCTTAGAAGAACAGAGATTATGTCTCTCAATCATAGACGGTAGAGGGCCAAGATCAAGGTGTTGACACAGATGCTTCCTTCTAAGGCAGCGTGGGAGACTCTGCTCCATCTTTGTCTCCTAGCTTCTGGTGACTTGCTGGCAGTCTTTGTGGTCCCTTGGCTTGTAGCAGCATCACTGTGGTCTCTGCCTTCATGTTCACATGATGTTTTCCCTGTATGTATGTGTCTGTGTCCAATTTTCACCCCCACCTTTTTTTTTTTTTTTTTTTTTTTTTTTTTTTGAGACGGAGTCTTGCTCTGTCACCCAGGCTGGAGTGCAGTGGCGTGATCTCGGCTCACTGCAAGCTCCACCTCCCGGGTTCACGCCATTCTCCTGCCTCAGCCTCCTGAGTAGCTGGGACTACAGGCGCCCACTGCCACATCCAGCTAATTTTTTTTGTATTTTTAGTAGAGACGGGGTTTCACCGTGTTAGCAGGATGGTCTCAGATCTCCTGACCTCGTGATCCACCTGCCTCAGCCTTTCAAAGTGCTGGGATTATAGGCGTCAGCCACTGCACCTGGCCAAATTTCCCCCTTTTTATAAGGACACCAGTCATATTGGATTAGGGCCCACCCTACTCCAGTATGACCACATCTTATCTAATTACACCTGCAGCGGTCCTATTTCCAAATAAGGTTGCATTTTGAGGTATTGGGGGTTAGGATTTCAACATATCTTTTTTGGGTAGATACAGTCAGCCCATAATAGACCACTTCTGGGCTTCTGACTCCATCTCCAGATGGATGTTCGAGCCATTCTATGGGAGTGGAAACTAGATGAAAAGCCTATTTCAGAGAAAAGACCTTGAGTTTATCTTAGATCTGTGGAGTTAGATGTACTTTTAACTCATTCATTCATTCTCGAATGTCCATTAAGTGACACCATAAGGTAGGCACTGGATTAAGTGCTGGGGATATATATATATGCAAGTTAGTCATGACTCCTGCCCCCAAGATACTCAGAATTTAATGGGGATAGACCTTGATATAGTTTGGATTTGTGTCCTCACCCAAAGCTCATGTTGAATTGTAATTCCCAATGTTGTAGGAGGGGCCTGGTGGGAGGTGTTTGGATCATGGGGTGGACGTCCCCCTTGGTGCTTTTGTGACAGTGAGTGAGTTCTCATGGGATGTGGTTGTTTAAAAGTGTGTAGAATCTCTCCCTTCACTCTTTCTCCTGCTCCAGCCATGTAAGATGTGCCTCCTTCCTCTTCACCTTTTTCAATGAATCGAAGTTTCCCGCAGTCTCCCCAGCCATGCTTCCTGTACAGCCCACGGAACCATGAGCCAATTAAACCTCTTTTCTTTATAAATTTCCCAGTCACAGGTAGTTCTTTGTAGCAATGTGAGAACAGACTAATACAGACCTCAAACACGTAAGCAAGTATAATGTTGCAGGTGGAACATATGCTATGAGTGAGAGATAAATTGAGAGCCTACAATAATGGGATTTTATCTAGTAAAAGAGGTCAAAAAGGGGTTCCTTGAGGAAGAACTACTTAAAAAAGGATAACTAGCAAAAAAGAGAAAGAGCATTCTGGACAGGGAGAACAGTATATGCAAAGGTCCTGTGGTGAGTGAAAGCAGAAAAAGCATGAGGAATGGGAAGCTGGGTAGTGCAGCAGAGGTGCAGAGAGCATAGAGGCCACTTAAGGTGAGGTGAGCCTGGGGAGGTGAACATCAGCCGGGCTATGGAGGGTCATGGAAGCCAGGTGGAAGAACTTTATGTAGTTCCTAAGAGCAATGGAAAGCCCTGCAAGATTCTGAGCCAGGGTGTGCATGATTTAAATATAAAAGCCATCTCTTTGCCTGTCATTTGGCGAATGGATAGGAGGAGGGCAGAGTGGACGAAAAGACTTCAGAAGTCCAGAGACAAGGAGGGTAGTGGTGCCGGAGACGCACATAACTAGACAAATTCAAGAGATATCTGGAAGGGAGATTTGAATGGCCTCAGTGACCAACTGGATATGGAGTGAGGGAGAGGGAGGCAGTGAAGATGACTTTTGGGTCTCTTGCACCTACTAGCACATGACAGAGAACACTGAATGAGCGCCAGCATTGGGAAATGTAGACTTTGGGGTGCACTGGAGCCATTCAAGAGAAGGGGCTGGAAGGCTGCTGGATATTCCCAACTAGAGCTTAGGGGAGAGCTGGGCCAGGTGGGGAAGGCTGGACCCAAAACAGATTCTGGAGGAGCGGGCAGAGCTGGCAAAGAATTGCCTTCTCCATCATAGCAAAGGGACAGAGTATGTGTGCGCATTTGCAGGGAGGTTTGCAAGCTCAGTAACAGGAAAATGAGGTAGTTGCTGCTTTCTGATGGCTTCTAATTTTTCTGAGTAGAAAGAGGTGAAGTCGTCTGCTTTTAGTGAAAAAAGAGGAAGCTGGGTGGAAGGCTGTGGGAAATTGGCAGGGAAGGTTTAAAATGATGTTGGAGAATAATGAAACGGAAACGTTTGCATTATGTGAACTGAAAAATAGAAAGTTACAAAATAGAAGGTATGTATGACTTTAATTTTGGGCAGAAAAAGTAAAATGGTAACGTACACATAAGTACATATACATATATACATATCTATATGCTCATATACACACTTCATGATTAGTTGGACTCTAAGCAATTTAAAATACTTTGTTCTTTTCTTCATTTTCTAAATTTGCAAAAATAAACATGTATTGCTCCTGCAATAAAAACCTCTTATTTCTAAAAAAGTTTATAAAACCCTTTGCTTTCATTCTTTTTATTGAGGACTTGTATATTATTAATTTGAAAAATTATTGTTAAACCTTTTTTAGCTTAAAATAGCAAAATAACAACAACAACAACAAGTATTTGTTGACAAGAAATGTCTTTAGCTTAAAGTGCTCTAGTAGAGGCCATGCTAATTTTAAGGCGATATTCTCATTCTCTAAAGTTAGAGCTCATCTGCCTGCAGGTCTATGACAGTGAAATCTTTGCTGCCTGGTGCAGACCCAATCAGTGACTGAGAAAGCCTAGCCAGTGTGGTAGCCTGAGGGCAGCAGACCTGCACCTACTCAAAGAGCTAAATTCCAAGCACACTGGCGGCATCTTTGCTAACTCTGATGATTTCGATTAGCAGAATAATTTTTTAAAAATTGTACAGGCGTGAACACATTATGTTATGTTATTATTTCCAACAATACTAAGTTATTAAATGTTGTAAATCACTGCTTTTAGTTTTGGTAACTTTATGCCTTTTCAAATGGCTACATTTACAGATGAGAACATCCTTTTCCAGGGTTTTCCATGGGGGCAGTATGAGGACATTGCTAGCTGCAGTAACAAAGGACGCAATAAATTCTTTTTTTGTTTGTTTGTTTGTTTGTTTTTTAAGATGGAGTCACGCTCTGTCGCCCAGGCTGGAGTGCAGTGGCACGATCTCGGCTCACTACAAACTCCGCCTCCCGGTTTCACACCATTCTCCTGCCTCAGACTCTCTAGTAGCTGGGACTATAGGCGCCCACCGCCGCGTCCAGCTAATTTTTTTGTATTTTTTAGTAGAGACGGGGTTTCACCGTGTTAGCCAGGATGGTCTCGATCTCCTGACCTCGTGATCCGCCTGCCTCGGCCTCCCAAAGTGCTGGGATTACAGGCATGAGCCACTGTGCCCGGCCGACTCAACAAATTTTAATGGCTCAACACTTAAAGTAATACAGAGAGATTAAGGCACTTGCCCCTTGGTCACACAGCTAGGAAATTAAAAGACCAGCATGGCCAGCCCAGGCAATTTGACTTCAGAACACTTGTTCCTCACCTCTTTCCTATATTCCCATCTAACATGCTAAGACACCTCTGAAATGTTGTTTCTTCTCACTCTTTCTCATACTTGGGAGGGTGATGTGTATATGTTCTTGCTCCAGTATGGAGCTAATTGGAGACATGGAAACGGTACATCACTAATACATCAAATGTTCTATAGATCTATGAAATTAGCTTTTCCTAAGCAGTATCTGTGAAATCACAGGTTAGCTGGGCTACACATAGCTAATATGCATTAAAATAAATGCATAAGTGCCATAAAAAGTGTTTCCACTTGTACCACCCAAAACCATCTCGTGTGTGACAAACTTAGGGAGGGGAACCATTAAATCTCGAGCCTGGGCAGTGTATGTGCAGACCCTGTTCTGGAATCCTCCATGGGGCAGAGCAGACAGGCCCTTGTTTCACGCACAGCCTGCCTCTTCCAAGGATGGCACGATGACCTTCACGTACTTTGCCCATAAAATGGCACAAGGTGCCTGAGAGAGCCTTCCAGGATGCAAACTTGGGTCGGCAGGGCCTGACCAAATGCTGGAGAGGTACCTGAACAGGACCTCTAACTCCACCCTCTGCCGGCCCCACCCTCTGCTACCCCCGCCCCTAACCCCGCCCCCTTTGCCTCCTGCCCCGATTGCCCAGCCATGGAGTTTGAGATGGAAAGAAGGGAGGATGCCACGCTTTCCGAGATGGCACTGGCGTCAGTGCTTCCACAAGAACTCCTGACAGAAGAGGCGAAGAGGCTGACTGCACAGTCCTTTCAACCAAAATGCAGTGTTTTGTCAGTATCAGCCCTGGGAGGAAACTGCTTGGGCCGAGTTAAAGTTAAGAATCTGACTTAATCCCTAAATCTGGCAACATAAAGGGTGTAGACACCCAGGCCTAGCCGTGACTGGGCCTTTTCCTGGAATGGTCTGTGAGCTTCGGGTAGCAGACAGCCCTGGTCTGGCGCTGGCTCTGTCACTTCGTAGGCATGTACCCTTGGCTACAAATTTTTTAGTTCCAAATTTCCTAATATGCCAAATGGGGCTGAAACACCGTACGCACATGGCTCTCCTTCCAGAACTCCTGCCTTCAGACCCAATATTTATTTAAGAGTAATGAAGAGTGAGAATAAGTCAACTCATTCCACCAACCTGTGACTTTTATCCAACATTCTATTACCAAGTGTAAAAAGTGCGTGTACGACAAAGTCCTCTGACTTTGGAAAGCTTACTAATTGACTGTACTCCCCTTTCAAAACAGTCCATTTATGTAGCACTTTTTTCAGTCTCAAAGTTCTTTCCCTTAAGCGATCTCATAAACCCTAACAAGTTTGTCATAGAAATAATTTTCCTGCTACTTACTTACAAATCTTCCAGCCATGAGATAGCCAATATCCTCCCGCTCTCCCTCCCCCACCCCATTGGCATCTGCTACACACAAACTCTTACCCAGACACCCATTCACCTGACTTACATCGAGCCCATCTTTTTTCTTCTGTGTCTCTAGCTGAACTGCCGTGAGAGACACTGACGGTGTTGAGGTTGAAGGCTACTTGTCAGGGAGATCCTGAGAAAGTTAAAGGGCCAGGTAGGAGAATGAACTAGTGTTCCCCAAGTGTGAATTTCTGACCGGAGAGACAAACATATGCTGTCCATCAGCTTGATGGTATTTGCTCCACTTCCTGCCTCTACCTCACTAGTGGTTGACATCTTCAGCAAACAGTGGGAAGTTCCTTTCCTACAGAATCACGTGGGCTGAGAAACCCTTTGACAATAAGGATGCACTAAGCTACTCCAATTTCGGGAGATAATATATGGAGAAAATAAAATTACTTGCTGCATTTAATTTTGTATCTAACTGAACTAGAACATTTGTAATTAAAAACACTTTAAATGAATCCAGTAAATTATTAAAAGTTATGGCTAGCGAAGCAATATTGTGATCAGTGGTAGCGAGAACAATTTAACCAGGAGAGGGGCTTGTTTGGGAGAGATGTGGGGCTGAAAAAAGTTTATAAGATGCAGAAGTGAGGCCGGGCGCGGTGGCTCATGCCTGTAATCCCAGCACTCTGGGAGGCCGAGGCGGGCGGATCACGAGGTCAGGAGATCGAGACCATCCTGGCTAACACAGTGAAACCCCGTCTCTACTAAAAATACAAAAAATTAGCCGGGTGTGGTGGCGGGTGCCTGTAGGCCCAGCTACTTGGGAGGCTGAGGCAGAAGAATGGCATGAACCCAGGAGGCGGAGCTTGCAGTGAGCAGAGATCGCGCCACTGCATTCCAGCCTGGGCAACAGAGCGAGACTCCGTCTCAAAAAAAAAAAAAAAAAAAAAAAAAGTTGCGGAAGTTCCCTTGGCACACTTGGCTAAGGAAACCTGGCACCGAGGATATGAAACTGGGGGACTTGAGGCTCCCTGAATAAGAGATGGAGCTTGCAGAGGACGCACTAGGTGCCTGGCGTTGGCCTAAGCACTTTCCAGCAGATAATTTGCTTATCCTCAGGGCAACCTTATGAGGTAGGTACTATTATTACCCATTTTATAGATGAGGAAACTGAGCCACGTGGAGGTGGGAATGCCAAGACTGATCCCAGGCAGCCTGGCTCTGCATACGAAACTGCTGTATTCTTTGCCCTGTGGTATCTCATACCTGGAAGGCAGGCAGGGAACAGAGGAGAAAGGTTGAGGCTGAATCGTTACATAAGTGCAAGGGCCCCAGGGTCCTGAGTGGCACCTGAGAAGAGAGGAGCCCAAGCTATTAGGCCGTAAAATACACTGCCTGGTGTCTGCCACATAGTAGATTCTCCATAAGTGTTGAACTGAAATCAAGCATAATTACCTGAGCTATCAGCCCTTTCTCTCTAGTTCATCAACATTTCTCTCAATTCTTTGATTTTGTCAAACTTGGTAAACCACGGAAAATGTGTACTTCTTAAAAAAAAAAAAAAGAAAAGAAAAAGATTGTCCAGTTCATGGAACACTGCAACAAGACATGTGAGAAGAGATCTTACTAGTGTTTAACTCAAAATCCCGAGAGGCTTGCGCAGAGGCTGGAGCCCAGCAACCATTGCTTGTCCTTAGAGCCCATTTAAGGGGCACCCTCCTATCATCACCCATTAGCTTTCTCCCGGTGAAGCATGAATATTTTCACAGTGAAGCTCAGGTCTAACTGTGACACTCTCACTGCCCACAAAATGCACAGGATTCCAGTGAGCAAATAGCCCCGCCCTGAGTCTACCCGGCATCGGCCACAGGCATGCATAGCAGGAACTGGGCGGCTGAGTTCACAGGCAGTCAGAATGGGTGCTGCTGCTAGCAAGGTTAAAATCATCTGTTCTGCCAATGTCCCCCTCTGCTCACCCTCTAGGCTGTGGTCTGGGTCCCTCAGGATAGCCACAACTTGGGAGGCAGCCACTGCTCCCCTTGCTTTGGGCCCTTAGCTGCGTCCTGTTTACCTTCACCTTCCTGATACATTCCTTGGGTGCTTTGCTTGTGTGTGCAGGGGCTTTGATCAACTCGGCCTTCCTGGGCCTCGGGGAGAGAGACGGACTGCCTCCGGGTGCTCATGACCTTTCCAGCAGTAAGCCAATAATGTATGACTCCTGCGTTGCCGTTGCTCGTTTGAGGTAACCACCCCATTTTCATTTCTATCAGAAATGCCTTTTTCAAATGTCAGTATGTTTGAGAGTTAGGCTTAGATTCTAAGCCCAGCAGGCAGAGATGAGTGTTGGAGCTGGGGCCTGGGAACAAGCGGCCCTGAGTGGCACCAACTCTACCAGTCCTTACACCAGCAGGCTTAGAGCAGAACAACCAGGTGGGGACAGCCAATAGGAGTTGGGTAACTTTTCCATGTTGGCCAGTGTGCCCCACAGTCTAGCATTTGCACAGTCCTACCCTAGCTTATATACCTGTTCTGCTTCACCCAGTTCAATGGCTCCCTACAGCCTGTAGGACAAAGGTCAGCTTCCCTCTGGCACCCAAAGACCTCTGGGCCCTGACCTTGTAGAGCTCTGTTTCTGGGGCTGCTCATTTTTCTCTCTCTTGCACCCCATGCAGCAGCTATCATGAGTGATGTACTGTTCCTTGGCAGTAAACTAGACTGTTCCCTGGGCCATGCTACTTCCGCTGCTTGGATGCCCCTTCCTGGTTTCTTCTTCTGGTTCAACTTACTCATCTATCAGTGCTGGGTTTAGCTCTACCTCCATCTGAGAACATGTCTCTGACTGTGAAGGTTGGATTAGCCCAGTCTGCTTCCAACTCTCATGGGATGTATAAAGAATGGGAGGTTCTAAAAAGTAGCATCAAGACATCAGAGAGACCAAGGTTCAAATCTTGGCTCTCACATTATTAATCATGTCATTTTGGGCAAAGCGTTAGCTTCTCTGGGCTTCAGTTTCACCATATGTAAAATGAGGGTATTAACAGTATTTGCCTTAGAAGATTGTTTTGAGGCCTGGGGAAGTCCATGTCTATAAAGGGCTATAGTGGGTTGAATTGTAGCCCTTTAAAGAAATGTCCACTGGGGACTTCAGAATGTAACCGTATTTGGAAGAAAGATTTTTGCAGATGGAATTAAGGATCTCGAGATGAGATTTCCTTGGATTTAGGATGTGCCCTAAATTCAATGACAGGTTCCTTATAGAGAAAGGCAGAGGTAGATTTAAGAAAAAGAGACACAGAAGAAGGTTATGTGAAGATGGAGGCAGAAACTGGAGTGACACAGCCACAATTCAAGAAACGTCTGGAGCCACCAGAAGTGGGAAGAGGCAGGGAAGGATTCTCCTCTAGAGTCTTTGGAGAAAGTGTGGCCTTGCTGATATCTTGGTTTTGGACTTCTAGCTTCCAGAACGGTGTGAGAATGAATTTCTGTTGTTTTAGGCCACGAAGTTTGTGGTGATTTGTTACGGTGGCCCTGGAGAACTGACACAAGGGTGCGTAGCATATTGTGGATACTCCATGAAGGTGACCTGACAGTATTGCTATTGTTTTGATGGCTCTGTGTTAAATTTGTCTTCTTTGAGGTGTGTCTGTCTACCCCATGTCACCTGCCCCCAAAATTTCAGCATGTGTTTTTCTTAACTTGTGTTTTCAATGCTTTGCACAATGTCTGGCACATAGTAGGTACTCAGGAATGATTTTGGGCAAGGACATGCTGATGTGGTACTGTCACCTGGAGGGGACTATACTTCCTCTTTGGCTATCCTGTGATCACACATCCTGAGGGTTCTCTGCTTGGTCATTGACCCTTTGATGACTTGAACGTTCGGGTTCAGTGTTAGTAGTCTGTGGTGCCCAGTGGCAGTGCAGTAACCAGCAGAAGGGTGGGATACCCACTGGTCTCTCAATGGATGGGCACCAGGGGATGCAGCAACAGTGCTGGGCTTATCCTCCAGGGGGAGGGTATTGCCCCATGAAGAGAGGCTGGGACCGGGGAAAAGGTGCCAAATGGTAGCTGAGCAGGCTAGTGGGTGTGCGTGGTTGATGGATGAGCTTCTGGGGACCAGCGTCAGTGAGTGGCTTGCCATGGTCACATAGATACTTTATGGCATCACAGTGCGACTGTACAGCACTGGGGTTCAGTGGGCTCTGGGGACCAAAACCCTGGGCTCACAGCCCAGGCCGACATGCTCCTGCCTGCACTCTAAGCCTGTGGAGATGGTGATAAAACCACCAACATTGAGACTAGGAATTTGAGGTTTAGAGAATTTGAATGATTTGACAGAGGTTGCTTAGGAAGTGGTAGTGCCAAAATTTAAATCCAGTTCTTGTTCATAATGTCTGGGCTTAGCAGGGGAGTAAGTAAGGAGGGGACAGTGGCCTGAAAGATGATGATTGTGTTATTGCTATCTTGTATTTTAATTCTACATAGTTTATAAATCCCACAATACAATATTGCTTTCCTTTAAATGGTCGTTGTCTTTTAAAGAAATTAGACAGTACTGTGTTATATGTATCTACATGTTTACCATTTCCAGCAAATTTTTCATTTCTTCTTATATATTTGAGTTTCCACTTAGTATTCTTTCCCTGTAGACTGAAGAACTGTCATAGTTCAGGCTTGCTGCCAATGAATTTTTTTCAGCTTTCCCTTATCTAAAAAGTCTCTATTCTGCCCTTATTTTTGAAAGATATTTTTTCTGGCTATGTAGTTCTGGGTTGACAGATTTTTCTCCTTCCAGCATTTTAAAGAGTTAATTTATTTTTTTAAAGTATTTATTTTACCATGATATTTTGCAGAGTATTTTGCTATTAAGATTTTTTTTTAAATTTCAGTATTTAAAAAATACTTACTTGGCCGGGTGTGGTGGCTCATGCCTGTAATCCCAGCCCTTTGGGAGGCCAAGGCGGGTGGATCACAAGGTCAGGAGATCGAGACCATCGTGGCTAATACGGTGAAACCCCGTCTCTACTAAGAAATACAAAAAATTAGCCGGGCGTGGTGGCGGGCACCTCTAGTCCCAGCTACTCAGGAGGCTGAGGCAGGAGAATGGCGTGAACCCGGGAGGTGGAGCTTGCACTGAGCCGAGATCACGCCACTGCACTCCATCCTGGGCCACAGCAAGACTCTGTCTAAAAAAAAAATAAAAAAATACTTAATTATCTTTTCACCCTCATTTATTTTTCTGATGTAAACTCAACTGTCTTTCAAAGCATTATTACTCCCAAATCTCCTCCCTTTTATATTAACTGTTAAGATATTATTAATATTAATTTATATAATTAATATTATATTATGAAGATACACTTTGTTAACCAATATTATTATTAGTATATCTTGTTAGACTGGTAGCAGAAGGGAACTTTTACTTTCCTTTTCACACTCACCTTTGATTTTGTTCTATGATCCTGTATAATTTTAATTAAAACTAAACAAACCTTTAAAAGCTGATATGTCACAAACTATGTGGCAGGCCTGTCATTAGGACTATATGTCCATTTGGGATTAGGATTCACCCTTCCCACCCTTGTGCTGGCTCTTGAGTTGCTACCCTAGGATGTTCTCATTGCTTCGTCAGTTGACATCTTGCAGCCCTATCATTTATACACTAAGAGATACGAGGTGAACATGCGACCACAAGGATCACTACCACTGGTCTTCATATTTTTGAATCAGTGACAAAGTATGGTGGCTATAGTGCTTTTTGAGGGTACCAGTAGTATCTTTTGAGGTTAAGAAAACCTTTATCCAGAGGTTGCAAGCTAGAACTTCTAGGGCAATTTTTTTTCTCCATCCACAATATTTTTTGAAATTTTGGATCTGAATGTCTAATTATCTCCAGCTGGCCAATACCCCACAATTCCCAAATTATAACTGTCTTATACCTGGCTGGATACACACATATAGGTTTGCAGAATGGTTCCCGAAGACATTTGAGTTGGTCACGCTGCATCCTTTGATAAAAGCAGACCTGTGGCACTAGGCCACAAAGGGCTACATTCTAGAAAGAAACAAAGATAAAGTGGAGTGGGACACATTTGCCTTCTTTCTTCCCAAAGCACAAGCCAGCACAGGCCCCATCATCTCCAGAATCAAGTCCAAGTTGCCTTTGTTTGATTTTCAGAGTCTCTTGGCCTAGTATCAGTCTGCTTCTTAGCTTTACCTGTCAGTGCTACACTCTCCTCCTATACTCACCCACCCCACCCAACCTTTGTTCTGGTCACACCCAAGCGGTTCAAGGCCCCCTAGCTGGCCCTTCTTCATCTTCGCTGAAATGGCATTCCAGGTTAGCTCTGTTACAGCAGTCATTGTGTACTGGGAAGTGGCAGGATACAAGATGCACAGGTCATGAATAAGGGGTCCCCAGCTATATTTGAGCCCACACATCCATTTTGTTTGGCCCACAGGATGTTTGAAAATATTTGAATTGCCAACCTCTAACACCCTGGAGTTTTCACATAAAATTCTAGATTTTCAGCTTTTCTTAGAAAATGAATGATCTGAAAATTCTAGATTTTCAGCTTTTCTTAGAAAATGAATGATCTGGCA
The DNA here is from genome assembly GCF_000001405.40 of Homo sapiens. Taxonomy (NCBI): domain Eukaryota; kingdom Metazoa; phylum Chordata; class Mammalia; order Primates; family Hominidae; genus Homo; species Homo sapiens. The sequence goes on from NC_000015.10 coordinate 93,326,708, forward strand.
ACACTGGGTCCATATTCCTGTGAAGCCACACACAGGGGCATCTGAGTAGCTACCGCTCCTTTATATAGGGCATGAGCTCTTTCCTGTTCTCACATCTGCCACCCAGCCTGCTCTCTCAAGCACATGCTGACGTGGCCCACCCCGCAAGCATGAAGATTTGCACTTTTTGTTTTGGGGAAAGAGGAAAGAAAAGCAAGGAAGGAAATTAGCCAGGTGTGGTGGCACGCGCCTGTAATCCCAGCTACTCGGGAGGCTGAGGCAGGAGAATCGCTTGAACCCGGGAAGCGGAGGTTGCAGTGAGCTGAGATCACGCCACTGCACTCCAGCCTGGGCGACAGGGCACGACTCCATCTCAAAAATAATAATAATAATAATAATAAAGAAAAAAAGAAAAGCAAGGAAGGCATGATTGATTCTGTCTGCGAGGTGTCTGGGACGATGACAAAGGAAAGGACATTTGAGCTGGAGCACTGGAGATGGTACTTGGTAAACATGAAACAGACCAAAAATCCAGCAAGTCTTTGGCATTATTTGGGATGTTCTTGTGGTGAATATGAAGGCTGAGGCTTCCATGCTAGAAACCCGACTGTAGCCCTCATCTTTCTCATTCTCACATGCATATCAAATATCAGGTCTCACTGAATAATTGCTAAGAATCTGTCTAGTCCATCCCTTGTTCTCTCTCCTGTAGCACCATCCTAGTTCAGGACCACATTAGTTCCACCTGGAGGACTTGTGCTCATTCCTTAGGGCCTTGCTAATCTAAGTGTGGCTGCAAGACTAGGGACATCAGCACCTAGGGCCTCCCTTAGACAGGTAAGACCTCAGACCTCACCCTAGACCTACTGACTAGGAATCTGCATATTAACAAGATCTCCAGCTGATTCCTATGCACATTCAATTTTGAGAAGCATTCCTCTCAGGCAGTGGTTCTTGACCTCGTCTGTGCATTACAATCACCTGGGGAGCATTAAAAAATGCTTTAGTTTCTGGCAGCACCCAAACCAATTAAATCCAATCTCTAGGGGTGGGACCCAGCCATCGGAGTTTATTAGAACTCTCCAGGTGATTCCAATTTGCAGAAAATCAGTGCTTTAGGACACAGGTTCTCAAAACTGGCTGCCCGTTAGACTCACCTGGAGATCTTTTGCAACTTCCTAAAACCAAGCTGCATCCCAGGCCGATTACATCAACGTCTGGGGGCCAGTCAGACACAGGTATCTACACTGGTGAAATTTCCCAGGTGATTGTAGAATGCAGCCAGAATTGAGATCCAGTGTTTTGGGACTCCGCTCAGGAATCTTTCATTTCTGGAGACCCCCTCACAATATGTCCCCTACTCCAGCGATGCCCAGCCTCCATGGTGCCCTATGCATATTGCACCATCTCTCTAATTATCTAGTACGTACCTGCCCTCACCCACCCCATTTGGTTGGGAGCTCCTGGAAAATAGGGACTACGTTTTACGTTTCTTTTTCTTATGCCTTGCACAATGCCTGATATTTACAATACACTCATCAAGAGGTTATTAATTTCTTATTGCTTTTATTATTATTCCAATCCTGAGAGCTGTGTAAGGCAAATAAATCTCGAGACCTCAAAATCACTAAGTCAGGGGAAAAGTCAAACTGGGAACTATGTCAGACAGACCTGCCTCCCATTTTATTCCTAAATAAGATAGGTACAGAGTTAAGAAGCGACATACCTCCTTCACAATTTTCCACAAGGAAATTCCTTGTGGACAAAGGACAGACAGAACTCAAAGTCATCCCTGCTGAGGCTCACCAGAGACAAACGCATATTTGATTGCTTCCTCTGCCTTATTTTTTATGTAATAATGCAGATTCACTGACCCAGTCTAAATGGTGTATTCAGTGGAAGGCTGATCAAGGACTCAAAAGAATGCAACCTTTCGTCTCTTATCTACTTCTAACCTGAAAGACCCCACTTCAAGTTGTACTGTCCTGCCTTATCGGACAGAGCCAATGTTCATCTTGCACATATTGATGTCTCATGTCTCTCTAAACTGTAAAAAAGCAAGCATGGCCAGGTGCAGTGGCTCACACCTGTAATCCCAGCGCTTTGGGAGGCTGATGTGGGCAGATCACGAGGTCAGGAGTTTGAGACCAGCCTGGCCAACGTGATGAAACCCCCGTCTCTACCAAAAATACAAAAATTCGCTGGGCATGGTGGCACGCACCTGTAGTCCCAGCCCCTTGGGAGGCTGAGGCAGGGGAATCGCTTAAACCCAGGAGGTGGAGGTTGCAGTGAGCCGAGATCATGCCACTGCACTCCAGCCTGGGCAACAGAGCAAGACTTCATCTCAAAAAAAAAAAAAAAAAAAAAAAGGCAAGCTGGCGGGGTGCAGTGGCTCACGCCTGTAATCCCAGCACTTTGGGAGGCCGAGGCGGGCGGATCACGAGGTCAGGAGATCAAGACCATCCTGGCTAACATGGTGAAACCTCGTCTCTACTAAAAATACAAAAAATTAGCCAGGCGTGGTGCCAGGAGCCTGTAGTCCCAGCTACTCAGGAGGCTGAGGCAGGAGAATCACTTGAACCCGGGAGGCGGAGCTTGCAGTGAGCCGAGATCACTCCATGGCACTCCAGCCTGGGAGACAGCGAGACTCCATCTCAAAAAAAACAACAACAAAAAAAACAAAAGGCAAGCTGTACCTCGACCACCTTGGGCACATGTCATCAGGACCTCCTGAGGCTGTGTCACAAGTGTGTCCTTAACCCTGGCAAAAAAACTTTCTTAATTGATGGAGACCTGTCTCTAATATTTTGAGTTAACAGAGTCTATGGTGAGAGTTGTAGTAAGGAAAGCTCACCCTGGTGCAGGGGACGCTGGATGATGGCAAAGTCTGGAGGCAGCAGAGCAGCTAGGAGGCTGTTCCAATGGTCCAGGTAGAAGGTGATGAACAACTGAACGAGTGTGGTGGCAAATGGGGAAATAGGGCAGAGGCCCAATGGCAAGGGCATCATGAGGTAGAATCAGTAGCTATATTAGTTGGCTGGGCTGCTATAATTTATCATGTCACAGTTCTGGAGGCTAGAAGTCCATGATCAAGATGTGGCAGGGTTGGTTCCTTCTGAGAGCCGTGCGGATGAATCTGTTCCATGCCTCTCTTCTAACTTCTGGCGGCTTGCTGGCAATCTTTGGTGTTCCTTGGCTTGTGGCACATCACTCTGCCTTCATCTTTCTATGGTGTTCTGTGTGTGTGTGTGTGTGTGTGTGTGTGTGTGTGTGTGAAAATTTCCTCTTTTTATAAGGACACTGGTCAAATTGGATTAGGGCCTCGTCGCTCCAGCATGACTCTCATCTTGTTACCAGCAGAAGTTATCCAAGTCACCAGCGGTGAATCCGTAAGGGTCTGCGGCAACCTTGATCCTTGCCTCTTCAGAAGAAAGAATTCGATTGAAGGGCGTGAGGCAGAAGAAGAGATGGAGGCAAGTTTTAGAGCAGGAGTGAAAGTGTATTAAAAAGCTTCAGAGCAGGAATGAAAAGGAAGTCAAGTGCACTTGGAAGAGGGCCAAGTGGACATTTTGGAGGTCAAGTGCGGCATGTGGCCTTTGACTTAGGGTTTTACACATCGGCATACTTCTCCGTCCTGTGTCCCTTTTCTTTGATCCTTCCCTTAGGGTGACCGGCCCACATGAGCCATGGCCTGCTAGCGCTTGAGAGGTGAGCATGCGCAGTGTGTTGACTGGAGTCGCAAGCATCCTCTCCTGAGGCCTTCTTCCCTTTTCTGCTGAAATGCCCCCGGAAGGTCATCCTCTGCCATTTTGCCTCATAATGCACATGCTGGAGCCCAAGCCCAATTCCTGAGATCTTATTAAGAAGCTGTCGGCCGGGCATGGTGGCTCATGCCTGTAATCCCAGCACTTTGGGAGGCCGAGGCGGGCGGATCAAGAGGTCAGGAGTTCAAGACCAGCCTGATCAACATGATGAAACCCCGTCTCTACGAAAAATACAAAAATTAGCTGGGTGTGGTGGTGTGCCCCTGTAAATCCCAGCTACTCAGGAGGCTGAGGCAGGAGAATCACTTGAACCCAGGAGGCGGAGGTAGTGGTGAGCCAAGATCATGCCGAGCCAAGATCGCGCCACTGCACTACAGCCTGGGCGACAGAGCGAGACTCCATCTCGGGAAAAAAAAAAAAAAAAAAAAAGAAGAAGAATCTGTTGATCACCAATTTCAGGTGTTTTCTATCTACAGGGAAATTGCCTTTCCCTGGTGCTGGCTGTCACAGTGTGACAACTGCCTGACCATCACCTGGTGGCCACCTGACTTTCCTGTTGGGGTGTGGGTTCGGGGAGCCCTCTTCTGTCCCGCTCATGCCTAACTAGCTACCTTCTGTAACAACCTTAACTAATTCATTTGCCGCAACCTTATTTCCAAATAAGGTCACATTCTGAAGTACTGGGGCTCAGGATTTCAACATATGAAGGGGAGTGGGCACAATTCAACCCGTAACAGCAGGTATAGAGTTTTTTGTGTGTGAGCTGTGTCATGTGCAAGCACTTGAACTTCAGGAATTTTCGCTTTTCCATTTTAGAGATAAGCCACATTTTTTGCTGTGAGATCAACACACTCCTTTCTAAGTTTTTGTCAAAATCATAACTTATGAAAAGCAACTCTGGGGATGTTGACAAAACTGGAAAAACAGATGTCTTGAGCCAACTGGGATCAATATGAGCCGAGCAGAAGCTTGAGAAACTCAGGTGAACAAAAACATAAATAATTGGTCTTGGTTGTTCATTCACCAGTTATCAATTTCACTACTTTGAGCTGATGATTTTGGCAGACTTAATGCCCTGAGATTTCACAAGTAAATGTTCATAGAAACTATTTACAATAACTGTATACCTGCTCACAACAGACTACAGGATTTAGAGTCCCTTTCTTTTCCCTCCTCTCTCCCTCCCTCTCTCTACTTCCTTTTTAGGCATAACTGTTAGTACAGGGCTTTACTTGTTAATTGTTCTTTTGTGATTCTGTTTGTGGCAATTAAATGCAGTGGAGGTTTGGTAATTAGCTGCTGTAATTAGAAACACCTTCGGGTTAGGAAGGTGTTTCCTTTTCATCACTTTAGGAGCTCTAGCACTCCCTTCAAAACGCCTGCACTTGGCTGTGGGGGAGGGGGGAGTGAGCAGCTGCACATCATTCACGCTGGAGGCGGCTTTCTGCTAACAACAACACCTTGCACCCTGCCTTCAGAATTCTCCCTTGCAGCTGCAAGCAGAACTGAAAAGTGTGCAGGGCTGCTCTTGCAGTTAATAATTCCCAGATCTCCTGCAGGCCCCTCGGCGCACACGTCTAGGCTGGAATCTGGACAGCGTTATCCTGGACAATTCAATCCCTGCCAGAAAGGTATCGCCTCCCCAAAGATTGTCTGTCTGCCTTTCTTCCTATTTTGGGCTAAAGGGACTTTCAGGAATTACATATGTACATATTTCATGTTCCACAATGGGAACGCTTGTATCTCACGTCAAAACAAAAGTTAAAGAAAAATGAAAAACCTCATGAATTGTCCTTTTAAAAATTCTCTGTTTCCTGAAAAACAAACAAAACACCAAAACAAAAAACTCAGACGAAATAAAACCCTGGTGAAAACCTCCAACTGGGAGTACTTGCTGCCTGATCTCCTGGCTGAGGGAAAGGGAAGTAGTGTTTCTAATCCATTATTACCAGACGCTGAGCTTCTGGGAAGAAAGAAATGCATCTTAAATTGTTATTTTCCTCTTCTTCTTTTCCCAGTCTTGACTCCTTTTTCTTTTGCATTGTTTGGCAGCTTCAGATTTCATACCAAGGGAGCTTGCTCAAGGGACTAAGAGGAGTTTGAGGGTGCTCTTTCTGGGTTTAGATCTGTAGGTACCTGCTGGCCTCTGACACCCTTAAAACCAGTGAGAGAAAAGAGATGGGGGCCCAGTACCCGGGCCCTGCTGGGAGCTCTCCTCAGACCGGTGTGCACCCAGAAGTCCAGATTCACTGGGTGGGGGTGGGAAGGGGCTTCTCAAGTTCCCCCAGAAGTACCCTGAACACCCCAAACAAGTAAATGCCTCACCCTCACGTCACCTCTCCTCCCCTCCCCCCGAGATCTGAGGAGGGGGACAGTCTTTTAAGTGGTTCCGCTCAGGTATGATATTTAGAATCTTTTTTAACTTTTAGAATCTTTTTTAACTTTTAGAAAGTCATGGGCCGGGCGCGGTGGCTCACGCCTGTAATCTCAGCACTTTAGGAGGCTGAGGTGGGTGGATCACGAGGTCAGGAGATCGAGACCATCCTGGCTAACACGGTGAAACCCCGTCTCTACTAAAAATACAAAAAATTAGCCGGGCGTGGTGGCGGGCGCCTGTAGTCCCAGCTACTCTAGAGGCTGAGGCAGGAGAATGGCGTGAACCCGGGACGCGGAGCTTGCAGTGAGCCGAGATGGCGCCCCTGCACTCCAGCCTGGGAGACAGAGACTCTTGTCTCAAAAAAAAAAAAAAAAAGAAATTCTTGTGAGTTTGGTATTCTACTCCATAATATACCAACTTTGGTGCTAGGGGAAAGATGATATTTTCTCCACCAGATCTGTGATTAAAATGGATGCTCCCGTGCGGGTGGTGCATGTCTATTACAACCCGGTGGGGGATGCTCTCGTGCGGGTGGTGCATGCCTATTACAACCTGGTGGGGGATGCTCTCGTGCGGGCGGTGCATGTCTATTACAACCTGGTGGGGGATGCTCTCGTGCGGGCGGTGCATGTCTATTACAACCTGGTGGGGGATGCTCTCGTGCGGGCGGTGCATGTCTATTACAACCTGGTGGGGGATGCTCTCGTGCGTGCGGGTGGTGCATGTCTATTACAACCTGGTGGGGGAACAGGTAGGTGCATGACTATTACAGCCTGGTGGGGGAACAGGTAGGTGCATGACTATTACAGCCTGGTGGGGGAACAGGTAGGTGTGGGGCTGATAACCTGCTGCTGACAAAGGTCAGTGGGAGGAAGGAAACAAATGCCTCCAAATTCTCATCAGATCGGAGCTGCCTCAAGGGCTTGTCAGCCCTTGGAGTGACAGCTGCCTCCCTTGCTCCTGTTGCTGACATCCGGTTTCCAGAGGACAGGGCTTGGTAGGCTCTTGCCTGCCCCACACCCTCAGGGTGCTGTCGACCCCCTTTTCCAGATGTGAAGCTGTGCTTCTCCAACTTACAACCTGGCTTCACAGCCAGGACACAGCCTGCCTGTCTGGGGCTTTGCATTTGTCTTTCTTCCTTCACTCTTTGAATTTGGGAACAGGGATCTTGAACTCAAAGAATTCCCTGACCACGCCACTAAACACGGAGGCCAGATGCAGCGTGCTCCTGATGTTAGCTTGTCAGGAAACCTAAATGTGCTGTGATGATCTAAGTCCCCTAGCGGCAAATGGAGGATGATCACAAATTTGGGAAGAGTAGCTTGCTCATGGTGCACAGTCCCTAAATCTCTTGCAATCCAGAGAGCTTGAATGAAAATACAATTAGCATCGACAGCCCCTCTTCTTCCCTCTCAGGTTTCCTTCCATGCAGTGATGTGATGCATGGGAGGGGAGTTTACCACGAACTCATGGACACCTGGTTAACTTACCTTGATCACAACAAAACCAGGGGGAGAAAGGCACTGTGCCAGGAACTCCTCAGCAAGCAAGCTCAATGCAATCTCATTGTCTCCACAGTCAGACCTTTCTCCTAGGAAGATGCCTTGGGTTCGCCCAAGCTGTATCCCGAACTCGGTTCCTCTTTCTTGCTTCCTTTAAAATTGCTTTTTCCTGGAGACATATTCTTGCTGAGTTATGTTCTTCAAATTCTTTTCCGTCAGCTCACTTCATTTCTACCCAAAATATCACGTACAAGATATTTCCAAACACACATGTCTATCTCCAGTGCCACATAGAAGATATTTTTCTCAAACATCATATTTAACCTAAAACTTCCTTCTTATTTTAATGTAATGCATTTTCACCCTTAATCGCTACTATGCACTGACTGGTGTGGTGCAGAACTCTGGGATAAGGGCTGAAACACCAAGGGCATTGTTTTGTCATTCCACAAAGTTCAATCCAGCCTCTGTCACTGCTGATCAGTGAAACGGAGGTTCTCAGAACCTCAGTCACCACAGCAGAAACCTGGGGATGAAACTCCCTTCACAGAGATGTTGGAAGGATTAGGTGAAGATGTCTGCTATTTTTAGCATGATGTGTTATATGCAAAGTCCTAAGCAATTTAAGTTTTTCTATTTTCTTTGAAGGAGCAAGCTTGCTAAATGGATAAAGCTCCCAAGAATATTTTGGTTTGGGATAGAAACACATTGAAACCAAAAGTTTAGGGACCCAGCACATTTTGCACAAGATATGGATATGGATTTTCTCCTTATTTGCTAAAAAAAAAAAAACTCTCTGTGATCACTGTTGTTGGATCTTAGTCTTTATAAAGTATACGAAGGACCTTCTGTTGAGTATTGAAAAACATACGTGATCTATCTGCAGGCTGGAAAAGTTTCTTCGAAAATGGAAATGTCTTTGGGAGTAGCAGCAGAAGGTTTCCTTCCTCTTATCTCTCTGTTGGAAAATTTTTTTCTTTTAAAAAACGTTTGTTTTTTTATTTCCATAGGTTTTTGGGGAACAGGTGGTGTTTGGTTACATGAGTAAGTTCTTTAGTGGTGATTTGTGAGATTTTGGTGCACCCATCACCTGAGCAGTATGCACTGCACCCTATTAGTAGTCTTTTATCCCTCATCTACTTCCCACACTTTCCCCCATGAGTTCCCAAAGTCGACTGTGTCATTCTTATGCCTTTGCATCCTCATAGCTTAGCTCCCACTTATGAGTGAGAACATATGATGCACCTAGCACTTAAGCCCTCATGACTGAATTTTATGATCTGGAAATTTTATTGTCAGTTGGCAGCACTGACCATTTGGCCTAGGCTCAATAAAAGATAATCTAGCCTCTCTCTTACTGCAGCTACAACAAAGATGCAAAAGAGAAAGAGGAAGGATTGTTTAACAAACGACAGAAATTTACAAAAAAGAAGGGTGAAGTATGGGTGGGGTGACCAGTTTTCCCAAATTGATGAGGGCTGTCCTGGATTTTACCTTTTTGATGGATTATTTTGGGGTAATAATTTAGATTTCTTATCAGAAGATTACGAGGCCTAGAACAAAAGTGATTTGTAAATTTGTTGGTGGGTTGACAGTGGGGGAAGAATTGGAAAAATAAATAGTGATTATCATCTTAGAATTCTTAAAAAAACAAAAAAGAAAAACATATATGATCTAGATGTTAAAGCAAACACAGCCCTTGAATTCAATATCAAGGATTGATATATAACATTTGCATTGTCCCCCTCAAGGGTCTGATAGACCAACCCTTTGCCCAACTTTAACCACTATTTCCATAGGTCTAGAATCCTCTCTTTCATCCAGTCTCAATTCCCCTCTAGAGATCTTACTGGATGTACACCCAAATTAGAAAATTGTTGGGAGGATGAAATGAGAGAATGCTTAGCTGGCATATAGGAGTTATCAACACATGTAGCTCTGATTACTTCTGTAACTTGCTATAGGAAGGTGAAGAAAGCAGACGTTGAGTATATTAAACATATATTAGGCTCTGATTGATTTTGATTTGCTTAGATCAGTGGCTCTCAACTGGGGATGATTCTTTCCTAAGAGACACTTGGCAATGTCTGGAGATGTTTTGATCCTCATGACTAGGGCTGGCAGGGAGAGTGTTCTGGGTGGGCTACTGGCATCTAGTGTGTAAAGGTTGTTGCTAAACATCCTGCAGTGCGCAGGACGCCCCCACAACAGAGAATTCTCCAGTCCCAGGGTGCAGAGGTGGGGAAACCCTGCCTTAGATGGATCTTGACTTTGTTAGGCTCTGTGTATGAGGGGAAGATTTGCTTTCTTCAGTAAATTAGAATAGTGACTAAAAGTTCTAGGTTTTGATCTCTATCTCTCAAAGAAAATAATATAGGATTTAATAAAAGCTACTTTGATCTTAGCATCTTGGCATTTTAAAAATTACAATGGTGAGGCTGGGCGCGGCGGCTCACGCCTGTAATCCCAGCACGTTGGGAGGCTGAGGCGGGTGGATCACGAGGTCAGGAAATCGAGACCATCCTGGCTAACATGGTGAAACCCCGTCTCTACTAAAAACACAAAAAATTAGCCAGGTGTGGTGGCGGGCGCCTGTAGTCCCAGCTACTCCGGGGGCTGAGGCAGGAGAATGGCGTGAACCCGGGAGGCGGAGCTTGCAGTGAGCCAAGATGGCGCCACTGCACTCCAGCCTGGGCGACAGAGCGAGACTCTGTCTCAAAAAAAATGAAATAAAATAAAAAAATAAATAAAAATAAAAATAAAAAAATTAAAATGGTGATAGTCAAGTTTTAATTCTTTAATGAAAACAAGTTATTGCTAAAAAGTCTGATGTGTTTGCTGGTGAACCTAAAACTGCTCTAAAAATGTTATTTTTTTTTTAAAAAAACTAATGTGAATGGAAAAGTGATTATGACCAACAGAGGTTTGTGATTTATCTGTGACTCTTTTCTAAGTGAAAAGTTATAGTCAAATAAGCTCCAGGAATAAAACTCATTTCAAATAAGATTATTTAAATATTTCACGTTTTCTAATCACTAGATTAAACAATAAAAAGATCAGATCTTTCATATCTAATAATTTTTCGTCATATTATTTGATACTTCTAATCACAGATATATTAAATGTTTCTAGTTTCTGTGGACATAATTTTGGTGAATTCCTTTTCTTTTGTATTTAAAAATTCTTAAAATTGTACATATTTTTGGGGCACATTTGGTGTTTTGATCCATGTATACAATGTGTAATGATCTCATCAGAGTAATTGAGATATCCATCACCTCAAACATTTATCTTTTCCATGTGCTGGACACATTACAAGTCTTGTCTTCCAGCTATTTTGAAATATACAGTAAATTACATTTAACTAACAGTTATAGCTGATGAAAATTATAATGATAAATTTAAAAGAAAAAAATTCATTGTTATTTAATCAGGTATGGAAATAAACCCCAGAGCTATCATACTGTTCAAGGATTGCTAATCTTTAATATCTAAAACAAACTAAGAGTCTGTATTCTTTTTTTTCCTCTTTATTTGAGACAGGGTCTGACTCTGTCACCCGGGCTGGAGTGCATTAGTGCGATCCTGGCTCGCTGCAGCCTCGACCCCCTGGGCTCAAGCAATCGTCTCATCTCAGCCTCCCAAGTACCCAGAACCACAGGTGTCTGCCCCCATAGCCAGCTCATTTTTAAAATTTTTGTAGAGATGGAGTCTCACTGTGTTGCCTAGGCTGATCTTAAATTCCTGGGCTCAAGTGATTGTCCTGTCTTGGCCTCCCAAAGTGCTGGGATTATGGGCATGAGCCACCATGCCTGACCTAAGATTCTGTATTCTTAATCCTTTTGCTACACCCACTCCTGGTTCTGAACTTATTTTGTTGGTCACTTAACCACCTTGGGCCTCAGTTTACTCAGCAGAGCAATGAGATTTCAGACAAAAAACCTTCCTAGTTGTTCACAACACCAAGATTCTATGTTCTTGTAAAGAATGGTTAAGTGTGTATGTGTACCTGAGTTACGGGGGAGACCTTTTGAGTAGGGGTTACTATCCAGGGTCTTGCTGAGACAGGAATGTACTGGGTACTTATGCCTCTAGGAATTACATGTCTGGAGTTCGAGGGGACCTCAAGGCCACTAAGTCCTCTTTTTGCTTCTCCTAAACATCCGTCTTCCCCAGGACTTTCTCTTTTCCTTTGTTCTCCTGGTGTGTGTTGATTGGGGGCTGTTGGCCTGAGGGCTATGCTTCCTGAGACTCTGCCCAGGCAGGCTGTGAGGGGCCTGGGCCCGATCTTGACCCCAGGGATCCTTATGCTAGGAGCTGGGGTAGCTTTGGAGGCTTTGGCTGTCAGCAGAGATGACTCCTGACCTAGACCCTTGAATGAGCTTGTTCCCCTGTGAAGGATGGAGATAAGTGGAGTTGGAGTTCCTCAGGGGTGCCTAATAACCTACCTAGGATAACTCAGAGAAGAGAGCTATGGTGGAGTGTTGAAATACTAGCCCTTGTGAACTGTACCTACTGGTATGCATGCCCTTACTTATGTAGTTTCCTTTCACATTGCTCTAGGCTTGGCCAAATAACTTGCTTTGGTCAATTGGACATTAGTAAACATGATACAGGCTGAAGTTTGATAAACTCTTGAGTTTAGGCCTTGCCCTCTTGGAATTCTAAAACGATGCAAAGAGAAACCCAGGAAACAGCATCAACAGCCAGGCAGGTGAGCCTGGTCATACTAGACCATCCCATGCCAGCTGAGCTATCAGATGACTGTGGACATGAATGTCCCTAGCCAAGACAGCAAAAGAACAGCTCAGCTGAGCCCAGCCCCAAATGGCTGACCCACAAAACATGGCTCCTGTTATGGGAGCCACAATAAATGCCTTGGGTGGTTTGCTGTAACGAAATTGGTAACTGATATGAGCTGACTGCTATTTAGCCATTTGCTTATGAGATCTGAATGACTGAGAAAATCAGCTCAGCCCTGTCACCCTCCCCCTGGCAGTGCCTCTTGTTTGCTGTCTTTATATCTTCTCTTCTGTGCTCTCAGAATGCCCTGTGCCCATTGCTCATTATACTGCATCAATTTGTTCATTCATTTCTTTTTCTTTTTTTTTTCTTTTTTGAGACAGAGTCTCCCTCTGTTGCCCAGGCTGGAGTGCAGCAGTAAGATCTTGGCTCACTGCAACCTCTGCCTCCCAGATTCAAGTGATTCTCCTGCCTCGGCCTCCTGAGTAGCTGGGATTGCAGGCTGGTGCCACGACACCCGGTTAATTTTTGTATTTTTAGTAGAGACAGGGTTTACCATGTTGGTCAGGCTGGTCTCGAACTCCTGACCTCGTGATCCGCCCGCCTCGGCATCCCCAAGTGCTGAGATTACAGGTGTGAGCCACCGCGCCCGGCCTGTTAATTCATTTCTCTCTGACCTGAGCACCTTTTCTTTCAGTTTAGTACCTCCAGGGCTCAGGACAGAGACTTGTAAAATGTTGGTGCCCAATGGACACATGGAGAAAGAAGGTATGAAGCCCGGCCATTCGTTCGTATTATAGAAAACGCTGAAGGCTTCCCAAGGCACCAGCTTGCTATGTAGCTGACGGGCCACCAAGGCAAGGTGTGGGAGTATTCTGCAGCTAGTCATGGCAGCCAGTCAGGACCCTCTTAACTCTGCTCCTCACGCAACTTCCATCCTGCTGCAGTGTCCACCAGCTCTTGAATTTAAAGTCTTTGAAATGTACATCCTGAGCTGGGGCTCCTGGCTCAGGTCATGGTCCTTTCTGATGACCCGCCATTTGGCTTCTCACTTGGGACCTTTCTGCAGCAAAGCCCTGGCTCCATCCTCTGTCCCTACCCCATCCTATTCCCCGTCCCTCTCTCTCCTGGCCTCTGAGATTCGGTGAGGGATTGTTTAGGTACAAAGTCCATTGGAAGCCACATTAAGTGACTTAATTATCAGAAGAGGAGCGATGTGGAATGAGGGACAAGGTGACAGCTACTGTGTGCACAAAGACTCAGTCCTTTTTCGTTTGTCTTTTTTGCTTTTTTCTTCTGTGCCATGACAAAAAGCTTACTCTTGTTAAGTTGCTTTATTTGAATATGAGCCTAAAATAATATCACTAAAAAAAAATATCACTTTGGAAATAGATTCCGAAGAAAGGTTCAAACTCATAAATGGTCATAGAATTGTTCTAATGTTTTATATCGGAACTCCACATTTTGGCATTTGTCTCTGAAGGAGGCAATTGTTTTACATTCAGCCAGGCTGAAAATGTCTGCAAGCTGATGGAATCCTTCTGGAACATCAAAGGATGGGAATCTGGCTTCATTTGTACTAACATCATTTATTATCTTTTCTTCAGATTTTAAGTTATAAAAATCTCATGAATTAATGATCTCTCTGAGGGTATGAGAAATTTGCATGGACAATTCAGCTGAAGAAGGCAGTAATTTACACACATGCACACATGAATAATCCCAACAAAGTAAGCGAAGCCAAACAAACGTGTTTTGTTTCATACCTTGAAGTTCTTTGATTTGAGGTTCGTAGAACTAAAAGGAAGACAGTGTTTTAAATGTGTTTTTCAAAGAAGAGTCTTCTCTTTTAAACCAATTCTAATTCAATTCTGTTAGAATTTTAATTGTTCCTTGAATCTTTAAGGAGACTGGGTTTACCATTATTCATTTGAACCAGGGTTCAAAAGGGTTCTGTTGATTAAAATAACAATTTTCGTCACATAAATTAGACCATTTACTAGCCAGAGCTATCATTTATCAAACATTACTGTAAGCTCTGTAAGCTCAGCACAGGCTAAGCACTTCAAATACATGGTTTCATTTAATAATCCCAATAATTTGACTTAAGTACATATTAATATCCTCTTCTCAGAGATAAGGAATCAGGATGAGAGGTTCAGCAATTTGCCCAGGGTCATTTAGAAAGCAGGAGCAGAGCTAGGATTTATAACCAGCTTGCGTGAACTCAAAGTTCATTCTTTTAACTCCTGTTGCCTTTGAACATTACCGTTGACAATATTTGGAAAATGTGTCATCTCCTGTTGCAAGGGACAAATATGCAGTTTAAGGAATAGGCATCAGGCTTTTAGAATAACTGACTTTACATTTTAGACTTGTCCTTCTCTGTCCTTGGGTGGGACCCATGAAGTAATGCTGCTTTGACATCTGCGGCGGAGAAAGCCACTGTCCACTCAAAATTCATGGGCCCTTCCATGGTACAGGATGCTTCCTGAGAAGCAGCTGCTTAGCCAGGGATGTTACTTAGTTTCACCTATGAATGGAAATGATGTTGGCGGCACCCAGGCAGAGGTGGCTAAGCAGTGCATGTGTCTTCCTTACCTGCCCTTGGGGAGTGACACCCCAGGAGAGCTGGACACTGCCTGTGGGAAAAGGGTAGAGCCTACTCCTGTCCAGACCTCCCTCCAGGCCTTCCTCCTCCACTCCAACCAGAGCGAACACACTGAAGTGTTAAGTGAGTGAGAGCTACATTTTTATTGTTAAGCCGTTGGAGTTGTGGGGTTTCTTTGTTAATACAGCAGTTAGCATTACCCTAACCAAAAATAGAGCTTCCTTTAACTTCCCTTTAGGGGAAGTGAGTGGATTGAACAGCTGAAAAGAGGGTAGTGGGCCTCTTCACCAGAGTGGATTTCCCAGTTAGGCAGTTACTACATCCTATGCTGATGGTCACATGTTTAGAATATGGGCCTGGGGGGATGAGAGAAGAGGGCAGGTGGGTGCTCAAGGTGAGGCTTGGGGGAGAAACTGAGGTTGAGAATGGTCTCTCTTTAGCCCAGGTGGTACATTTTCAATTATAGGAAACTTTAAGGAGACGGTGGTAGATAACTTAAGAGAAAGAAAAATGCGAACCGACATGGATGTGTTTAAAATGAGTGAGCAGGCTGAGGTGGGTGGATCACCTGAGGTTGGGAGTTCAAGACCAGCCTGACCAACATGGAGAAACCTGTCTCTACTAAAAATACAAAATTAGCCGGGCATGGTGGCACATGCCTGTAATCCCAGCTATTCGGGAGGCTGAGGCAGGAGAATCACATGAACCTGGGAGGCAGAGGTTGCGGTGGGCCGAAATCGCGCCATTGCACTCCAGCCTGGAAAAAAAAAAATCCATCTCAAGAAAAAAAAAAAAAAAAATGAGTGAGCAGAAGTTCCCCGAATGAGCACCTTTCTGAGGAGATTTAACTTGATGTCTGATCAGTTTAACACAAGGCACATTTGTCTTTGTGTCTTCAAAAATCTTGGGTCGTCTTCTGCAAAGAAAAAGATTAAAGCACATCTTTTTTTTTCCCTCTTCTATAAAGTCTCATGTTACGTCCCTATTTGTAGCTTTTCAAGGCACTAAGATTATTGAATATTGATTTGGTTAAAAATGGAGAACAGCTCTTTCTGTTTATACCCTGCAGTTCATCCTCCTGCTGTTCCCCACATCACTTCTATGCACTTTCTGAAAATCAGTTTAATTAAAAATGTCATGCATGGTTTATTGAATTTCATCTGAAGAATAAGCGATAACAAAAATTGTTTGGTCTTATAACCAAGTAAATAGATATTTGGATACTAGGTATGGGGAGAAATAAAACTAATTGTTTAAACCTCAGTTAATGAGAACATACTGTTTTGCCAGTGCAGTGTTGGGAAAGAAAGCATCTTTATTTGATAATGGAAAATATTAATAATTACTTAAAGCACTTTGTTGAAGTAACTGTATGAGAGCTACATGTTTCTTGTGGGTAGCCATCACTCTTTGTAACAATTGTTTTAATACCAGAGCTCTTTCAGAGAGTAATAACAGAAGTATACCTTTTACTATTGTTACCAGAAAGGGGTCCCGATCAAGACACCAAAAGAAGGTTCTTGGACCTCGTGCAAGAAAGAATTTGGGGCAAGTCCATAAAGTGAAAGCAAGTTTATTAAGAAAGCAAAAGAAAGGGGCTGGGCGCAGTGGCTCACGCCTATAATCCCAGCACTTTGGGAGGCCGCGGTGGGTAGAACACGAGGTCAGGAGTTTAAGACCAGCCTGAGCAAGATGGTGAAACCCCGTCTCTACTAAAGATTAAAAAAAAAAAAAATTAGCTGGGTGGCAGGCGTCTGTAATCCCAGCTACTCGGGAGGCTGAGGCAGACAATTGCTTGAACCTGGGTGGCGGAGGTTGCAGTGAGCCGAGATCATGCCTTTCCACTCCAGCCTGGGTGACAGAGCGAGACTCTATCTCAAAAAAAAAAAAAAAAAAAAGGTAAAAGAATAAAAGAATGCCTACTCCATAGGCAGAGCAGCAGCATGGGCTGCTTGACTGAGAGTAAACTTATATCTTGATTATATACTAAACAAAGGGTGAATTATTCATGAATTTTCTGGGAAAGGGGTGGGCAATTCCCTGAACTGAGGGTTCCTCCTCTTTTTAGACCATGTAGGGTAAACTGTCATGATACTGGTGGGAGTGTCTTTTAGCATGCTAATGCATTATAATCAGTGTATAATGAGCACTGAGAACAATCAGAGATCACTTTCATTGCCATTTTGGTTTTGGTGGGTTTTGGCCGGTTTCTTTACCGAATCCTGTTTTCTCATCAAGGTCGTTGTGACCTGTATCTTCTGCTGTCCCCCTATCTCATCCTGTGACTAAGAATGCCTAACCTCCTGGGAATGCAGCCCATTAGGTCTCAGCCTCATTTTACCCAGCACCTATTCAAGATGGAGTCACTCTGGTTCAAACACCTCTGACACTATGCAGTTCATACAAACAGTTTAGTTTAATGCAAACAGTACGTGTCTGCTGATCACAGAAATAAGTCCCTGAAATTTGAATCAGTCTAGGGGAGAAAATTCTTCTTTGGATTTAAGAGAGTCCAGTCTTTTCCCAGTAGACAAGAACAAGGAAGATAGCTACAGGCAGCCATCTCTCTATCAGGAGGAAAATCAACCTTAAAAGAAAGGCAATAATAGAATGTGGTACATATACTGAAGAAGGAATTTATGAATTTTACAAGTACAATCAAAGACAACCAAGAAATTTTTACTTTTTCCTTCAAAAGCTAAGTGTAGTGTACCCACCCCCAACCCCGTAGTCTAAGTTAGAGAAGAATACTGCCTGCCTGTTTTTCCTTCCGTGCTCAGTGAGCCTTACCCATACTCCCCAGTTTCACATTCCTTGAGGCTCAGTGAGTTCCTGCGTCACCTGCCTAGCACAGCTGTAAAGTTACAAGGTTGATACAGAAACATGGCTTCCTAAGGATGTAGAACATATAGTATAGATAAATGTAAAAGACTGATCACCGGGTGCGGTGGCTCACGCCTGTAATCCCAGCACTTTGGGAGGCTGAAGTGGGCGGATCACGAGGTCAGGAAATCGAGACCATCCTGGCTAACACGGCGAAACCCCGTCTGTACTAAAAATACAAAAAATTAGCCAGACATGGTGGCGGGTGCCTGTAGTCCCAGCTACTCGGGAGGCTGAGACAGGAGAATGGCATGAACCCAGGAGGTGGAGCTTGCAGTGAGCTGAGACCGCGCTACTGCACTCCAGCCTGGGCAACAGAGCGAGACTCCGTCTCAAAAAAAAGACTGATCAACTGCCTTTGTTCTCGCTTCTGTAAGTATGCTTCCTGCATCACCACTGACTGCTTAAAAGGTGGCTGCTTTCTTTGTCCGGGGCTCAGACTTTCCTGGATGCTAGTCCTACTAAGCCAGGTGATCACCTTTTAATAAAGACCTTTCCTGAACTCACTCTCTTCAGTCTCTCCTATCTCTGATTATCCCGCCACAGTACACCATGGCATACTATACAGTCACAAAAAAGAATGAGATCATGTCCTTTGCAGGAATATGGATGGAGCTAGAGGCCATTATCCTTAGCAAACTAACACAGGAAAAGAAAACCTAATACTGCATTTTCTCACTTATAAGTGGGAGCTAAATGATGAGAACACATGGACACAGAGAGGAACACACACTAGGGCCTATCAGAGGATGGAGGGTGGGGAGAGGGAAAGAGAGAGAGAGAGAGAAAAAAAAAGGAAGCCAGTAGGGTTTATAGCAGAGAGGAGAATTTGCTTTATCAGACCTTGTCGACTGTTGACATTTTGGGCCAGGTAATTCTTTGTGATGGGTCTGTCTGGTGCATTGTAAGATGTTCAGCAGCATCCCTGCCCTCTTTCCAATATATGCTAGTAGCACGCCCCCCAACCTCAGTCATGACAATCAAAAATGTCTCTAGACAGGCAGGGCACGGTGGCTCACGCCTGTAATCCCAGCACTTTGGGAGGCCAAGGCGGGCAGATCACAAGGTCAGGAGATCGAGACCATCCTGGCTAACACGGTGAAACCCCGTCTCTACTAAAAATACAAAAAAAATTAGCCAGGTGTGGTGGCGGGCGCCTGTAGTCCCAGCTACTCGGAAGGCTGAGGCAGGAGAATGGTGTGAACCCGAGAGGCAGAGCTTGCAGTGAGCCGAGATTGCGCCACTGCACTCCAGCCTGGGCGACAGAGCGAGACTCTCTCTCTCAAAAAAAAAAAAAAAAAAAAACAATCTCCAGACATTGACAAATGTCTTCTGCAGGGCCAAGCTGTTCTAAAGCAGTGCTGTAGTAATAAAACATCAGCCACATCTGTAATTAAAATTTTTTTGTAGCCACATAAAATTAAAAAAGGTGAAATTCAAGCAATTTCTTTTATTTAATATTTAAAATGATAATTTCAGCTACAATTATTGAGGTATTTTACATTCACTTTTGCGTACAAAGTCTCTGAAATCTAGTCAGTATTGCATACTTCAAGCATATCTGAACTCTCACTAGCCGTGTTTCAAGTGTTCAATAGCCACATGTGGTTAAAGCAACCACATTAGACAGAAAAGCTCTAAAGCCAGCAACACAGGGACTTACCATGCCTTTTATCTTACAGTTGAGTCCATAAACGTCCTTTTTTTTTTTTTTTTTTTTTTTTAAGGACGATTTTGGTGTGATCGTCTGTTCCTGTTCCTTGTGGCTGAAAGTATCCTAATACAAGCCTACACGGGTGTTTCTGATAATTAAGGTATTAAAAACCTCTAGTGGACATCTTTGCTAGCATTTCTTATTATACAAGCATCATTGTCTAATAGTGGCTGTAGCATTCCTTGTATGGCTCTAAGGAGTTGCTTCTGTTTAGACAGCAGGGATACCTGCTTGCATGCCCAGTGCTTGCAGACATGGCTTTTTCATGAAGGCTTTTCTTGTCCATGAGCCATGCTTGATTCTCATTGCATTTTCTTGAGTCCTTTGGTCATGAACTTTATTGTCTGACTGCTAAGCCCTGGCCTCCCTCTTCCCCATATGCAGTAGCTCTTTGCTTGTGTGCAAGTACCTTGGGCTAAGCATGTTTCAGGGTGGCAGGAATAGCAGAGGTAAAGGAGAGATGGGCTCTGTCATCAAGGTGAGTGAGCAGAAGAATCAAGGCACCTTTCTTGACTACAGCTGGGAATTGCAGTAAAACCAAAGGAGGACATTCTTGCAGAATTGTCAAAATCAGAAACAGAAATTTACAAGGAAGTTGTTTCAGGAGATTTTTTTTGTTTCCAGATGCAGCAGGCTTGCTGATTGAAAACATTTGGGTCTTGAAACCCAGGTTTTTACTCTGAGAACGAGAAATGTCAGAAAATCCCATAGTATGATCCTCTTTCCCACTTTATAGATGAGAAAACTAAATTATAGAGAGGCTAGAAAACGAGCCCAAGTCTATGCAGTGTTAGTAACACATGGAGGAACATAACCTGTTCTCCTGGCTAACCAAATATTTCCACCTCAAAGTGCTGCCTCCTATATATTTTGGTTTGTTTTGAGATAGTCTCACTCTGTTGCCCAGGCTGGAGTGCAGTGGTGCTATCTCAGCTCACTGCAGCCTCCATCTCCCGGGTTCAAGCAATTCTCCCTGCCTCAGCCTCTCAAGTAGCTGGGGTTGCAGGTGTGTGCTACCATGCCTGGCTAATTTTTGTATTTTTAGTAGAGATGGGGTTTCACCATGTTGGCCAGGCTGGTCTCGAACTCCTGATCTCAGGTGATCCACCTGCCTCGGCCTCACAAAGTGCTGGGATTACAGGCATGAGCCACCACACTCGGCCACCTGCCTCCTATATTTATTTAGAGTTTATTCAAATAAATTCTACAACACCCCTTACCCAAGTGTTTTTATCTTTAGTTACTTAAAGATTTTCTTTTGAAATATATTTGGATATACATGAAAGTTGCAAAAATAGTGCAGAGAACCTCCATGTACCCTGCACCCAGCTTCCCCAGTGATAAGATATTGCATAGTCCTGGCTGGGCGCGGTGGCTCACGCCTGTAATCCCAGCATTTTGGGAGGCCGAGGTGGGCAGATAATGAGGTCAGGAGATCGAGGCCATCCTGGTAACACAGTGAAACCCCGTCTCTACTAAAAATACAAAAAAAATTTGCTGGACGTGGTGGCAGGCACCTGTAGTCCCAGCTACTCGGGAGGCTGAGGCAGGAGAATTTGTTGAACCTGGGAGGTGGAGGTTGCAGTGAGCCAGGATCGCGCCATTGCACTCTAGCCTGGGCGACAGAGTGAGTCTCTGTCTCAAAAAAACAAAAACCGACAAAAAAACCACCCCTTCGGGCTTCAGGCAGAATCGAGAAGCATGAGAAAGCTGCCCTTGTTGGCTGGCTCCTGCTTTTTGGTGCTCCCCTTGTCCCCTGACCCCACATAGGGATTCCTTTGTGCCTTCTCTTCTTCCTTCCTTCTTTGCCTCTCCTCTCCCGGGTTTCAAGGCTTCAATCACACATGCTGTTTTCTGTGCAAGTCATTCAGACCCTTTCCTTTGCCAGGTGAGGCTGGATTAATGAGACAAGTGAATCCCTCAATTTTGAAATAAATTTGGCAGATTATCCCCAAGACATGCTGTGACTGTCACCTACTCCTTACTTTTCTTTAGGAATGAAGTCATTACAGCCTGACAGTGAATGGTGGGTATTTCTGGGATGCTGTGGGAGGCATATGGATGATATTCTTTTCATTTGAATTATGTAAAATACCTCTCATTATTAATGGATGCCAACTGATCAGGTTTCTCCTGCTGATGGTTCTGTTGGATGTCTAGGATGTGTGTGTGTGTGCGTCTAGGATGTGTGTGTGTGTGCATGTGTGAGTGTGTTTGTGCGTGTGTTTACTGGGTGGTCCTGGGTGGTGGCGAGGCAACTAGATGCTTCATGAGAAATATAATGAGACTGTTTATCTTTAGTTTCCATGTTCAGGGAAGTTGTCTGTTTCAAGTTAAAGGATAAATGCTCAGGTCAAGCTAATCCCAATCATTTTCTTTTTTTTTTTTTTCTGGGGCATTCTATTTCAGTTCAATCATCATTCCTTTTGAATTCATTCTGTTTTACTAAAAAGAAAATGCTCACAACTCTTCAGTCCTTATTGGGGAAGGTTTTCCTCCAGGCATGAAGGGGGGCTAATGGTAAGGTGGTTGAAGTCGAAAGATCAGCACCATCTCACAGTCCAGAAGCACAGAGGGACAAGGAATGGCCTCCCTGGCTTTATCCTAACTCCTGAATAAACTTTTCTTAGGGTCTTTGTGTGTTTGTGTGAACTGGAATTCCAGCTCTGCCATAGCCCCTGCCCCCAGAGCACAGGGAGAATGGAAAGGCAGTGAATGATAGAGCTGCTTCTTAGGGCAGATTCTGATTTCTTTCTGTGAAGGCTGCCCTGAAATTCAAAGAAGCATTATTATTTCATCCAATTTAAAACCCTGCCTGATGCTGAATGGGCAAGAACCTAATTTCACCTTTGGAGGCAAATGGGAAGCTTTTTGTGCTGAAAGAAAGAAGAAAAGAGGATTCTGGAGGATAATTGAATGAAAATCCCTTTAAGGTGCCAGAAAACTTCGCCCTTCCAAAAGGGATGAAACGAGGTCAAAATATATTTGTTAAAAGTGTGGGGCTTGAAAGCCTTAATTATTTCTTTGGAAAGTCGTGTCTTTTAAAGACTTAAACAAAAGCTTCAAGAAGGCAGGAGCTGGGAGAAATTGCCGATGGCTTTAGAGAAGGTGAAGCCCAAAGGAAAGCAATTACTGGTGAACAATGGTATATTAACAACGATTATTCTTCCAGATTGGGGGACCCTACATTGGGGTTGGGATGTGATTTAGGAAGATTGCCTGGTGGTCCTGCCCAGGTCTTTGCCCAAGAAGATGCGGGATGGAGGAGTGACACGGTCAGACGTGACTGAACAGGCTGGAAGGGAAGCTAGGTTGGCTGATTAAGGAAGGGAAGAAATCATCCTTATTTCATATATTCTACAGAAAATATTATTTCTCTTGGGGCAGAATGGTGGGCTGCTGTAGTGAATGCTGTCTGGATTTAGACAGATGGGTATTCTTAATCTCCAATCCCTCACTTACTAGCCTCAACACCTTAGGCACAGTCCTTTATCCTCCTCTTCCTCATCTGTAAAATGGGGAAAAAATTCCCTGCCACAGATGGTGAAAACTAAATCAGGCTATCCTGGGCCTGATACACAGCAGATGCTCCATAGGTGTGGGTTCTCTGGATCTCTTGTTCCTCCTCTGCTTGGTTTGATTTCTGGACAAGTTCCCTGTGGCATTTTAGGTGCTTGCTTTTGAATTTTCTGTGTCACAGTGAAGTTCACTCCCAGTGCTCCGTTTGGCCATCTGCTGTTGATTGCCAGGGGCAGTCACACTCTCTTCATCTGTTCCTTCAGACCCAGGGCTACCTCTGCACCAGCTCTCCTTGGGGGAGTTTCTAACTAGCAGAGGATCCAGAATCATTCCTAAGATTAACAAAATAGCTGGGCACAGTGGCTCATGCCTTTAATCCAAGGAGGAGGCCAAGGCGGGCAGATCACAAGGTCAAGAGATTGAGACCATCCTGGCCAACATGGTGAAACCCTGTCTCTACTAAAAATACAAAAAATTAGCTGGGTGTGGTGGTGCACACCTGTAGTCCCAGCTACTCAGGAGGCTGAGGCAGGAGAATCAAGAGGTGTAGGTTGCAGTGAGCCGCTATCGTGCTACTGCACTCCAGGCTGGCGACAGAGCAAGACTACATCTCAAAAAAAAAAAAAAAAAAAAAGATTAACAAAATATTGGAAAGAGCTTGCATTCCTGCTTCCTTCATGTTCGCTGAGTTGCAGGCAGTATTTCCCTCTGCCCTGCAGAGGAGGTGCAGGTGAATTGGTTAAAACAATCCATTTTGCCCCTTTGGATTGTTTTGTGTCATGCAAACTTCCCCTTGACTGTTTCAGTTTGCATATTTATTCTGTTCTGAGATTCAACCAAGAGCTCTTCCTGGTTCCCAATCAATTGCTTTTCCTAGCAGGAACTGACAATCCAGCAGAAACCGCCCCTCAGTTCCTCCCCCACCTCCTGTCTTGATTGACATAACCCTCTCAGACCCCAAACCAGTGAAGTGTGTGGGGTCTCCTGGCCAACCTAACTGTAGATTAATAATGGACAGTCAGGTCTGTGGGTGGTGAGGAGTTGGGGAGTCCCTTCTCAAGGAGCCCAGAGACCTCTTTGGAAAGATTACCAAACCTTGTTAAAAACAGACATCCTTGGGGCCAGACACGGTGGCTCACGCCTGTAATCCCAGCACTTTGGGAGGCTGAGGCAGGTGGATCATGAGGTCAGGAGATCGAGACCATCCTGGCCAACATGGTGAAACCCTGTCTCTACTAAAAATACAAAAAATTTAGCTGGGCGTGGTGGCAAGCACCTGTAGTCCCAGCTACTTGAGAGGCTGAGGCAGGAGAATGGCACGAACCTGGGAGGCGGAGCTTGCAGTGAGGCGAGATCGTGCCACTGCACTCCAGCCTGGGTGACAGAGCAAGACTCTGTCTCAAAAAAGAAAAAACACCCTTGGGGTTGTCAAATTAGTGAATGTAAAGATTTCCCAAGGGTTTCAAAGAGTGGCCTGCCAGCCAGCTTTTGAGGAAACTGTTAATTCAGAGGCAGGAGCCTCTATCTGGTTTGCTGGTTGGGAAAAAGTTTCTATAGCACTTGTAGGCTTTGCAGGCATTGGTCCTCTTTGTCTCCCCTTAGGAAGTCAAATAGAGTCTTTCTGGCAAGAATTGGGCAAGAAATAGCAACCGTTTCCTACTTTCTCAATTGGTCCAGTAAAGGGGGCTTCCTGGGTGATGTGATTTTTAGCTCATTTGGGGACGCTATGCACGTTATCAGAAATATGAACACAGAACTTGTCCTAGTGGATACGCTAGATTTCATAGTAATTAGGTGTTGGGCATTTTGACAGAGAGAAGAAAGGGTGTTAGAATAGTGGCAACAGCAGCTTGAATTTCTAATTATGTTTCCCCTTTTGGGGCCCAGGGGATACACGTCTTCAATTTCTTGCCTTATCCTTTTTTTCCTAAATTGGTAGAACTCAGTTCCTGAGGCAGATGGGAGCACTTTTTAAGAAGATGGAATTTTCTAACAACCAGAGCTATCTCAAAAGTCATAAGCTTCCTGCCCCTGGAAATGTGCAAGCCATGTCTGTCTGCAGAGCTGAAATTCTTGTGTTCTCAGGAGGCTGGGCAAATGCTAAGATGGAGGTTCTGAAATCTGATTACTGCACCAATCACCATGGGAGAGAGTTAGTGATATATCTACTCCCAGACCCGGAACTACACAGAATCAAGATCTATTAAGGTGGGGCCCGAGAATTTACATTGTTTAACCCTCTCCAGGTGAATCGCCCGTACATATTGCTCTAAATTCCCTTTTAATCTGAGATCCTAATAATACCAAATTTGGACTGAAACTAAAGCTTGGGCTAAAGCTTTCTAGGAATGCTCATCACCTGCGATGCTGGAACTGCTCTCTAGGTGAGCTCTGGGGTTTCCCTTGAGTGTGCAAGGCCCTTCTCCTTGCTCCCAGCCTTCTCCTCTTTTCTTTGTCTCCTCTTCCCTTTCTGCACTTTCTTTTCCTTGTCTCTCCTCCCTTTTGTCTCTCTAGGGTCAGTTTTTCTGCGTGTTTTCCTGACTAGGTCCCCACTGCATTAGTGACATCAACCACCCCTGACCCTACACATCTGTAGGTGTGAAACCTTGTGTGCAGAATTTCCACGCAGCTCTCATCGGCCTGACCCCACCCAAGATAGCTGGGTAGCCCCTTGGGTGGAGACAAAAACCAGCCCAGTGGGAAAGGCTGCTGGGGTGGGCTGGCATGCATCTGAGGTTTCCTTTAAAGCTAGAGAGAAAAGGGCTAGCTTCTTTTTAGAAGTTCTCTTGAGCTCTAGTTGCTGTGTAAATCAGCGTAAAACACTCTAGAATCAGAAAGGCCGTGTGTGTTATTTTCTCCGAGAGCTTTAAATACAGGATGGTTTGGCCACAGACTTAGTCATAAAATGAAGGCTCCACAGAGGCTGACACAGGTGAACTTGAGTGCTGATCTGGGGCAGGAAATCAAGATGCTTTGTTGTTAGAAACAAATCCACTAATGTTATTTCCATTAACTAATCAATTACTTGATTAACTCATGTGTTCATCATACACTTATTGAGTGCCTACTAAATGCCAAGTACCAGCTGAGGACTAGGAGGAGAGAGAAAACATCTGCTCTCAAAGATGCAAGCCTTGCAAAGGGGAAAAAAAAACAGATGAGCAGACAATTCCGAGGTGCAGAGAATGTGGAGATTGTATCACTGAATTCAAAAAGCACAGACCCTGACCAGTCTGGGGGTTGTGGTGGTGAGGACAGTTGTCTGTCTTAAAGCCAATCCTCAGGGCTTGGTCATGCACGGCACTGTCTGTGGCCCTTGCCTGAATGAACCATACATGACACAGCAAGGTCCCTACTCAAACAACAGCAGCAGCAACTTAGCAATTATATGAATATGTTGCCTCCAAAATGATAGATTTTTCTTTTCTTTTTTTTTTTTTTGAGACAGAGTCTCGCTCTGTCACCCAGGCTGGAGTGCAGTGGCGTGATCTTGGCTCACTGCAAGCTCCGCCTCCTGGGTTCACGCCATTCTCCTGCCTCAGCCTCCCGAGTAGCTGGGACTACAGGTGCCCGCCACCACACCCGGCTAATTTTTTTGTATTTTTTAGTAGAGATGGGGTTTCAGCTTGTTAGCTGGGATGGTCTCGATCTCCTGACCTTGTGATCCACCCGCCTCGGCCTCCCAAAGTCCTGGGATTATAGGCGTGAGCCACTGCACCCGGCCCCAAATGATGGATTTTTCTAAAACAACACTGAGTAGCTGTGTGGTATTGTAAAAGGACCAGAGAATTTGAAGTTAGACCTATTTGACCTTTGCAAACTGAGGGGTCTTAGGAAATTCACTTTATCTTCCTGTTGTCAATTGTCCTACCTGAGAAACAAGGATTCCTCAGGGTTGAAAGTCTAAATAAAGGAAAGGAAAGGAAATTGCCTGGCGTGGGTGGTACATATGAGACACTCAAGAAAGGATGTTTACATTTTTGGCCGGGCGTGGTGGCTCACGCCTGTAATCCCAGCACTTTGGGAGGTGGAGGCGGGCGGATCACGAGCTCGGGAGATCCAGACCATCCTGGCTAACAGGGCAAAACCCAGTCTCTACTAAAAAATACAAAAAAATTAGCCAGGCGTGGTGGCGGGCGCCTGTAGTTCCAGCTGCTCGGGAGGCTGAGGCAGGAGAATGGCGTGAACCCGGGAGGCGGAGCTTGCAGTGAGCCGAGATCGCGCCACTGCACTCCAGCCTGGGCGACAGAGCGAGACTCCGTCTCAAAAAAAAAAAAAAAAAAAAAAAAAAAAAGGATATTTACATTTTTAAATAGTAAAAAATAGATATCACTAAATATCACAGGCCGGGCACGGTGGCTCATGTCTGTAATCCCAGCACTTTGGGAGGTCGAGGCGGGCGGGTCACAAGGTCAGGAGATCGAGACCATCCTGGCTAACAAGGTGAAACCCCGTCTCTACTAAAAATACAAAAAAATTAGCCGGGCGTGGTGGCGGGCGCCTGTAGTCCCAGCTACTGCGGAGGCTGAGGCAGGAGAATGGCGTGAACCCGGGAAGTGGAGCTTGCAGTGAGCCGAGATTGCGCCACTGCACTCCAGCCTGGGCGACAGAGCGAGACTCCGTCTCAAAAGGAAAACGAAAAATAGATACCACAACTCAAAATTCTAGATTGCATAAGCAGAACTGGCTTTGCCAAAAATTGAAATGGGAAATAAATTGGCACAGGCTATCAATAATTCAACAAGTAAATTAAATTTAAAATCTGCATTTCCTGGACCGGGCGCGGTGGCTCACGCCTATAATCGCAGCACTTTGGGAGGCCGAGGCGGGCGGATCACGAGGTCAGGAGATCAAGACCATCCTGGCTAACGCTGTGAAACCCCGCCTCTACTAAAAATACAAAAAAATTAGCAGGGCATGGTGGCGGGCGCCTACTGTAGTCCCAGCTGCTCGGGAGGCTGAGGCAGGAGAATGGCGTGAACCCGGGAGGTGGAGCTTGCAGTGAGCCGAGATCGCGCCACAGCACTCCAGCCTGGGAGACAGAAGGAAACTCCATCTCAAAACAAACAAACAAAAAAAACAAAAAAACTGCATTTCCTGGATAACATGGACAACAGAACAAATAGTTTTGGTGACTTCTGGAACAATCAACATCCAGTGCAGTCTCAGAGGCCTCTGGAGTGCTGGAACCATCGAGGGCAGCTATGAACAATGTGCTATCACTTCTCTCATCCTCTCATGACAAGGTACATGTGAAAACAAGTCTTGGCATCAGTAAGGTCCCGTAAACTTAGAGTGTTATTGGTTACCATCAGCAGAACAATGGACAGGAAATGCATTTCTTTCTTTTTCTGTCATTTTACTCAATAAGAATTTGGAAGCTGCTCAGTAAAGGCTCCTGAGCAATTTAGCTGTTGGTGTGGCCCTGCTAAAAACGAACCAAGCTGGCAAAGGATAGGGCTATACAATGTTCATGGCATTTTCATGGTTCTTCAAGGTGAAGTGAATCGGGATTTGGTTGTCTAGGAATGACAGTAATTTATGTTGACTGTTGTGTGGTTTCTGTGTGGCTGGGCTAACAGCACTCTCTGGGATGATGGGACATAAGTGCGTAATGAATTGGTTGCCACACTAAACTCTACAGTGGAATGAAAACTCCCTGGTTGTCTGTCACACACCCAGGAGTGCAGGAGAAGAAGACCGGGAGAAGAGAGATAGGCAGAGATGATTTATCATTGCAATGTCATGGGGAGATTGGCATAAGCCTTTGGGTTCACTGAACTGGTCCACAGGAGAGAGCCAACTTTCGAATTTACTCTTTTAGCACCAACTTTAATGAACGGGCTTTTAAGGGTTAGTGCCTTTGAGGGAGGAGTGCCACAGGTATCTATACGAAGGATGTGGATGTGGCAAGGGAATTGCCTTGGGCGTGTAGGATACACACAGGCTCACGTGGTAGAACAGTACTCGCTTCCAAGATGGCAGCTTGGGCTCTGTATTAACTCTGATGGCATGTTGACAACAGGTCCTCATTCACTTCAGTGGGGCAAAAACAAGGGGCTCGGTTCCTAAAGTTACATAAAAACAAGAGCAGTGATACGGTGCAGTGAGTCTGCATTAGTTTGCTAGGGCTGCCATAACAAAATACCACGGACCGAGTGGCCTAACCAACAGAAGTTTATTTTCTCACGATTCTCGAGGCTGGGAGTCCAAGATGGGGGTGCGGGTGGGTCTGATTTCTCCTGAGGCCTCTCTCCTTGGTTTGCAGATGACCACCTTCTCACCGCATCTGCACACGGATTCTTCTCTGTGCACACACATTCCTGGTTGTCTGTTCCTCTTCTATAAGGACACAAGTCCCGTTGGATTATGAGTTGCACCCTTATGAGCTCATTTAAGCTTAATTGTGTCTTTAAAGACCTTGTCTCTAAATGCAGTCACTTTGGAGATTAGAGCTTCAACATATGAATCTTGCAAGGACACAATTCAGCCCATAACAGATTCTCAAAAGATTGTCTGCACAAAGGTTTCTCCAGTATGTGATAAGATTTTCTGTAGTTCATGACAAAATGAGCAGAATAGGTACCTGGCCCTTTCCTCAGTTGAGCTTAACTAACCCTAACCTCTCCCTACACTTCCATTTCTAATGACATACTTCCTCTAATAGATTTCTTTCTGCCAAAATTCAAATGTCCTGCACACACCAAGATTCAAATAGTCTATGTCTGCCAAACTCTTGTCATGCCTTCCTCATCCCTGCTCTCACACAGTGTAGGTAGGGAGAGAGCAAACACACATGCACAGACACATACACATGCACACATGCATGCACATACAGTATGCATGTACACATACGCACACGTACGCACATGCACACACACACACTCCTTTCTCAGTAAGGGCAGTGACTTAGTTACCTCTTTTGGTGCCAACGCGTCTTTCTTTGAATGCTGGTGACAGTGGATGGCAGTGTCCGATTGTACATGAGGCTTCTCCCTAAGTGCTTTTAATGAGGCACCCAGAGGCTTCAGAGAAAAGAGGACTTTTTTAGGGTTCAGTGAGGCAGAGACATGGGGTTGGCATCACTACCAAGCTTCAGCCATCAGAAGGAAGCCAACCTACGGTACCTGGCCTGAAGACTCTCATTTGGATTTGCCTAGGGTCCAGCACCCCCCAGGACCCATGGCTTGGTCTTCCAGAGACAAAAGGCTGTGAGTAAAGACTGATACAGCTGTTTTCGCTAAAAAACTCAATAAGCTTTGGAGCACAATTGTGTTGTTTTGATATGTTTCCAGCAGCATTTTGCATGAAAAGAAGAGGGGACAATTTCTTTTACTTAGCCAACCAGGTGAAGGAGTTCAGTAGAGACGGTTCCACCCAGTGCAATTGGCAGTGATGGCTGGTAGGCCTGGTGGTCCCCAGCAGGGAATGCATCCACTATGGTGATGCAGGAAGCACTAGTACTGGGCAGGAGTGGTTCATCTGTGGTCAGTGGGTGCAGGGCAAGATCCAAGGGAAGTGGCCTGGCTTGCAGTGTTGGCTGCCCTTGGACACTCCTGAAGAGGTAAGGACGTTGTCAGCCACGTGCTTTATTAGGGGAGGATACATGATAGGTTTCTTGGGCCTCCCTAAAACAGTTGGGTCAAGCTGGGAGTCCCCAGCATATCACGTTTGAGTAGGAAAAAATAGCTAAATATGGCCTGTTATTTTTGACATGTGCATATTTTATATGCAGGGCTTGTGTGGTCTTTGGAAAGTGATAGGTACAAAAGAATCACTTTCTCTCATCATCACTAATCTGGGGTTCATGGAGGAGGTGAGATTTCAGGAGGTTTTTGGATGATGGCAAAGCTGTATGGGCTAGCAGAAGAAAGGCATTCGGGACTCCAAGCGTGTTCTAGAGAGTGCAACCTTTTTCAGCCACACCTCTGCAGTCTCAAGCTCTGTGGTGATCCTGACTGCATTTCTCTGTATTGTTCATTTTGGAGTCCCTTAGAGATGATTCAGTTAAAACGAGGACATCCTGTGTTCATCCTTGGTCTTTGGGGATTTGGTGGGTCAACAGGTAGAAGTTGTCACTCTTCTATTTCCCAGTGCTTGGGATAGCGAATCACGAATATATTCACTCCTTCCGTGCCCTTTCCTGGGAAGCCATGGAGTTTCACACTAATAGCAGCTGCTGTCTGTCATTTCACCGTCACGTGGACAGTATCTTTAATTGAGACAGCTACCCAGTTGTCTTTTAGAATGAGGTTGAAGTCAAAGATTTCTGACTGTTTCTCTATTAAGAACCATTTCATTCAAGATTATTTGCCTGTTGGTCCTGTGTTTAGAAACACTTTTGTTCGCTAAACACAGCAGTTGGCTAAGTAATCATTACTTTCCTTTTTATTTAGTAAATGATGCGCTTATTCTCTGCAAGGCTCTGGTCTTTGTGATTTTGCCAGTGATCTCAGGTTGTGTCAATTCTGTGCTGGACCAAGGCAGAGAAATGTGATGATTCAGCCAGCCTGGGCCATCCCCTATGAGCCGGTGCATGGGTTTTATTAGCGTTTTTGGAATGCTGAAAGGACTTACGAGCATTGTCTTCCCTTTAAGGAGCTCTGAGGCCTTAGACCCACAGAATGGGAACCATTCCTTGAATGTTTTTGAAGTTGTTCTGCTGTGTGGTCTGAGTGAGGGAGAGGACAAAGAATAGAGAAGCATCTGTGTATCCCTTTTGGGGCCTGCCATGGTGGAGTACCTTCGTGGCATACTCGTGGCATCGCCAAAATATTTGGGGGCTTGGTTGGCACGCCTGCCGATCTTGGCCTTGAACCCACTTACAGTGCATGAGGGTACAGTGGCTGCTCCTTGTGTACAGACACGGGTCACTCTGTCCCTTCTCTACCAGGGACACTGTGAGCCGGGTGAGGGGCGAGGCAGATGGAGGAGGGAAAGAAGCAAAGTCAGGCGGGAGAGGCAGCAAGACAGGGCATGTGAGGAGCAAAGCCCCGAGCGGGTGCCAGGGAGAAAGAAGAAAGACTTTCATGCTGACATTGTTTTCAAATAATTGCAGTTACTGAGAAAGAAACCACAGCTGATGACAGCAAATTATTGAGCCGCTGAGATTCAGAAATGCGTGTAATGAGCGAAGAAAGCTGTGTGAGTCCACACCAGAGAGAGGGAGAGACAGAGAAAGGAGAGAAAGAAGTGGGGAGGGAGGGAGGAGAGAAGAGAGGGAGGGAGCGAGAGAGAGAGAGAGAGAGAGAGAGAGAATTCCAGTGGGGGAGGTACTTGCTACTGAAGTGTTCATCTTCCCTTGTGTTAGACCAGAGTGCTTATACCTTTTCTTTGCTTTTCTCTTCTACTTTTGGGAAAACAAATGTTATATAAACGCCGGGCAAAGGGATGATTCATAACCCAGGTGGGTTGGAGCAGGACAGCAAGAGATTTCATCGCACTACTCAGAACAGCATACAATTTAAAACTTAGGAATTATTTTTTTCCTGAAATTTTTCAGTTAATATTTTTGGATTGCGGTTGACCGCAGGTGACTCAAACTACAGAAAGTGAAACCGTGTATAATGAAAAGATGGAGGACTACTATATATCTATAGATCTATATCTATAGCTATACCTATGTATCTATCTATCTACACAATTACAGGACAAAATACATGGCTTGTGTTTCATGGTTTACACAGGTGATTTATTGCAGCTGTGACAATTCCAGTACATGTCCCGCAGTTGTGAAATTCCTGTTGTTTGCCTCCATGGCGGTTGGGAGGTGGGAGCACGTGTCCTCCCCAGCCTTGTTCCATGCCCCGCTCATTGCTTCTGTTTGTGGAAGAGCAGGGTGGCTTGTCAGGAACAAGCAGCTCCACTTCCTGGGTCACATGCTACACAGCCAATGACTCTCATACAGCAGGTGCCCTGATCGCTCGCTAGAGAGCTGCTGGATCCCCAATCTACTCCTTCTCTCAGGGCAGTGGCTAGCGCAGGGAATGCCTGGTCGGAAACAAACTGGAGAGAATGCAGAGTGGAGTGAGGAGCCCACCGATGCTTTCCTCCAGGCCCTGGAGAGCCTGGGGTCTGAAGAAGAGCACAGAGGCCCACGTGTGGTACCATAAAATTCTAGGAACGCTCCATCTGCACTGCAGGCCTGAGAATACCCAGTGTGACAGCGCTGAAAACATTCCTGGTTTACGCTTCTTAATACCAGTCTGTAAAAATAACAGTCCAACTGCATGAGATCATGGGGAGTTTGTGTGGGGCCGTATGCTGTGGGCCGAGTCTGTGCTGACTGACATTTGGAGGCTTGCACTCTGGGGCTTGTTGGTTTGGGAAGGGGAAGGAATCAGAGGGTAGGAGTGGAACTAGGGAGTAGGAGTAGAAGAAAGAGAATGAGAAAAAGGATGAATAAGCCTATCTTAGCAGGAGATGTCCATCAGTTAAGGAGTAACAGGGAAGGGTGGATAACATTACCATTTATTGGGCATCTACCATGTAGCAGATAATGTTTATATTTTTTCTTATTTTATCCTCTCTACAATTAACTAGCATTTTAAGCCCGGTTTTTCTCCAGTAGAGAAAACCATGTCATAGATATAGTAAGTAATTTGACTGAAGGCTGTTAAGGAGGTAGAGACAATATTCAGCCTGAGGTTTTTCCCACCCCAGAGCCTTGGTGATTGTCATTATGCTGCAGGATTTTCACGTTAGGAAGAAGTCAGTTTCATCACGAGTGCACATCTCCAGCTGGAATTTATGTTGCTGTGCGGAGCTGCTTTAGCTGATTTTATTTGACTGAACTCAGCGGTTGTTTTAGGAGCCCTGGGATGAAGCTTTGCTCTCTCCTTTCCAGGCACGAGTGATTTGGGATGAGCCATATGCACAAACGTGATGGCTGTTGGGTCAGGTTGTTAGGGATGAGTGACCAGTGACCAGTGGTCAATTTCTTAGAAAACACTCTCAGCCTCTTAGAAAACACCCCTGAGGAGGGGGTAATCCAGATTCAACTCTGAGGGACAGAAATGTCCCCACCATTCCCCAGGTTCACCATAGGAAGAAGGACCACTAGTATCATTTGTGGGGGCACCCCTTCACTTGGGCAAAATTCAAAGTAATTTAAAAACTTGATTCAGTTGCACCTCTGCTTTTCAATAAGAATATAGAAGCTACGGACTATCTTCTATTTCTCAGATGTTTGAGATGCGTGGTATATTTTAATTTTCACAACCCCACTGGGAAGGTGGAATTAACTCTGTTTTATGGAGGAAGAAACAGAGGCTCAGAGAGGATATTAGCTGCCCAGAACAAAACTATGATTCAGTTGTTGTTTTGAGGTTTAGACTCATTCATTCAGTCTGATTTTAGAGCTTTTTTTTCCCACTAATGTCTAGCGCATTTCCAGAGGGACCAGGGAGGCTCCTGTCTCATTAGGCACACTGGGTATGCTCTGGTTAAAACAGGACCCAAGGTGGTATTTATTACCAACTTAATAAATTATGTTGAGAATTTATTTAAAAGCCCTGTATAATCCAGCTGTTGAATGATACTGTTCCTTAAATGGAAAACAAAGATCTTTTCTCTCTCCATAGAAAGTGGCTCACATTTTTGCAAACAAAATTACATGTTTTATAACAGCTTTCTTGAGAGAATTCACACACCATTCAATTTACCCATTGAAAGTGTAAAATTCAATGTTTTTTACCGCATTCATAAGGGTGTGCAACCCTCACCACCGCTAATGAATATTTTCATTTCTGCAACAAAATTACATTTTTAATCAGTTAAAATAAATTAACATTACATAAAACCGAGAAAAAGAGGAGGATCTTTCCCGATTCTACTGGCTCCATTTAACGTTTATCATTATTGCCGCACTTTCCAGTCTTTATTTACCAGAGATGCAGTCAGCTAGTTCCAATCATCTGTGCGTATTGTTTTATGTCTGCTTTTTTAAGTTGACATTTTCCATATTGTTACTTTGCATTTTTAATGGCCCATAATATTCTCTCACATTGATGTGCGATAATTTACGAACCCACCACCTTTTGCTCAACCATTAGGGTTTTTTCTCTATCATAAATAATGTTGCAGTGAACATCTTTGCACACGAAGCTTATTTCCCCTGTTGAATATATTTCACTGGGCTGTAGTCCCAAGAGTCGGCTTGCTGGGTTAAAGGGTATGAATGTTTTATATCCTCCTCTCCCCTCCCCCATGTTTATTTCCAGAGAGGTGATACAATTTCAAAAAAAAAAGATATAGCATACATATATATATTATATATAAAAAGTCATTTAATGTTACCAAGGTTTTGGGTTCATTATGTAAATCAGAGACAGGCAAAATCTGTGAGGTCAAACGTCACGCATTTCTTGAGAGCCAGGAACGATTGTCCTTTATGTGTCCCACCTGGTGACTTAAATAAGTTTACCATTTTCCTTAGAAAATTATTCCCATGGAAAATGATTCCCTCAACCTCCTGACCTTTTGTTGGTTGCTGTCAGCCTGGGGCAACACTTTGTTTCCAGCTGTTCTTAAAAGCCACTTCTTTAGCATTTAACCCTTTGAAGGCCCACAGGGGGTGAAGAGGGGGTGGGTGGTTAGGAGGGTGAACGGGGCAGAGAGGGCTAGGAGGAGGGAGGGGGAGAATCCTTGTACATTTGCACCACTATGCCCCCTGGTTAGAGTGTGCTGTGGCATCCTGCTACAAAAGCCAAACTTGCCAGGAGATACACGTGGTGGCTGGAAAAACGAGAATATCCTCAACTTGCTCTGTTGCAAACAGCAACAATTCAGGAAGCTCTGATGACGTTATGTGCACCTGAGAGCAGCTGTTAGTAGCCAGAGTGATGCTGAACGACTGAGAGAGACAGAGGCTTTTTAGGGCTCAGGTGTATTCACCCCATGCCTCACCTTCCCAGAAACATGTTGTGAACTTCAGGATTTGTGGTGTGCTTAGACGTCACCAAAATCCCTACTGGATTCATAAAATTCTGTATCAGTTAAGATGCTTTTGGCTAGAAGCTGTAGAAAATCCAAATCAAACTGGCTTAAAAGATAACAAGAGTTTTCATGTTGTTGAAAAGTCCAGAGGCAGGGTTGACACTTAGCAAAGCTTGATCCGGAAGCTCAGGATGACGATGAATAGTTTTCTTTCTTTCCCCTCCGCTTTCCGTCGTGTCAGCTACATCCAAGGCTGGCTCCCCATGTCGTCACAAGACAGTTGCCAGTTGGGGGGGAATGTGTGCTTTCTCCTTCATGTCCAGCAGGAGACAGGGGTTTTTCTTTCTCTCAGCCATGGAGCGTAAGTGCTAGAATTCACTGCACCTGGACAAACTTAGGTCAAATGCCTGTTTCTGAACGAATTTTTTTTTTGTGTGTGATGATGATCTTTCTTACACATTTTTTAAATACCAGAAGTAATTAAATATGTTCATATAAGTAATTTAGAAAGTAAATCGTGTTTATATTTATTTGAGATAGATGTGATATTTGTATTTATTTGAGATAGATGTGATTATTTTATATATGCATACACACAGTGAACCAATTTTTTTTTTTTTTTTTTTTTGAGATGGAGTCTTGCTCTGTCACCCAGGCTGGAGTGCAATGGCGCGATCTCAGTTTACTGCAAGCTCTGCCTCCTGGGTTCCTGCCATTCTCCTGCCTCGGCCTCCGTAGTAGCTGGGACGACAGGTGCCCGCCACCATGCCTGGCTAATTTTTTGTATTTTTAGTAGAGACAGTGTTTCATCATGTTAGCCAGGATGGTCTTGCTCTCCTGACCTCACGATTCACCTGCCTCGGCCTCCCAAAGTGCTGGGATTACAGGTGTGAGCCATCGTGCCCGGCCCACTGAACCAATTTTTGTGTTGAGAGGGTGAGGCTACTGATAGGTGAATCATGATTTAGACCAAACAGGGCCCACTCCTGGAGCTGGGGCTGGGATCAGTCCCATTCAAACTGTGAGGCTTCACCATTGGGAAGGCAGCTAACAGCACCTCCTATAATTCCTGTGGCAACCTCCCGGAGAAGGAATCACCCCATCTTTCCTTGAACTGCTTAAGTGACAAATTTACGTGATAAATCATTCTTTTTCCCCAGAATACAGTCAGCCCTCCCTATCTGTGGGTTCCGCATCCACAGATTCAAACAACAATAAAAATAATAAAAATACAGTATAACAACAATTTACATAGCATTTGTATTCTGTAAGGTATTATAAGTAATACAGACCGGGCACGGTGGCTCACGCCTGTAATCCCAGCACTTTGGGAGGCCGAGGTGGGCGGATCACGAGGTCAGGAGTTTGAGACCAGCCTGGCCAATATGGTGAAACCCCGTCTCTACTAAAAATACAAAAATTAGCTGGGCGTTGTGGCGGGCGCCTGTAGTCCCAGCTACTCAGGAGGCTGAGGCTGAAGAATCGCTTGAACCCAGAAGGTGGAGGTTGCAGTGAGCCAAGATTGTGCCACTGCACTCCAGCCACAGAGACAGAGCAAGACTCCGTCTCGAAAAAAAAAGTAATCTAGAGATAATTTTAAGTATATGGGAGGATGTGCATAGGTCATATGCAAATACTACACCATTTTACATAAGAAACTTGAATATTATAAATTTTGGTATGAGGGGGACCATCCTGGAACAAACCCCCTGCGGATACCAAGGGACGACTGTATGTGTATATTTGGAGCATGTGCGCCTGATTCCTGAAAGATACATAAGGAAAAATGGATTCTACAGACGCAAATTTTTCTAATGAGACAGAATTGATTGATCAACAAATATGGCTGAGAAACATGAAGAGGATTATTGGGATATTGAATGACAAGCATGAACTGATGGGCTTCCCAGTAGCTTGTGAAAACTAGAAGCCTGGCTTTCAGGGTGACTGCTGTGTGTGTGTCTCCCATTGGGTTAGCCGGCCCTTCATGCCCTCTCCAGAGCCACTGTGAGGGAGTTGGAGGAGCAGGAGACGGGAGTAGGTGACACTGGGTTCCAGAAGCCTCCAAAGGAGCTGTTCTGCAGAAAGGACCTGGTTCAGGGCCTGCCCCAAGAACGTCCATCACTCCCTTGTTTTCTAGACTTTCTTCCACTGTCAGAGGCCTTTGAACCAGAGCAATGCCATCTTGAATAGGAGCTGGGTAAAATAAGGCTGAGACCTACTGGGTTGCATTCCCAGATGGGTAAGGCATTCTAAGTTACAGGATGAGATAGAAGGTCAGCACAAAATACAGGTCATAAAGACCTTGCTGATGAAACAGCTTGCAGTAAAGAAGCCAGCCAAAACCTGCCAAAACCAAGATGGCAACGGGAGTGACCTCTGGTCATCCTCACCGCTACACTCCTATCAGCGCAAGGACAGTTTACAAATGCCAGGGCAAGTCAGGAAGTTACCCTATATGGTCTAAAAAGGGGAGGCATGAATATGAATAATCCACCCTTGTTTAGCATATAATCAAGAAATAACCGTAAAAAACGGGCTGCTCCGTCTGCCAAGTAGCCATTCTTTTACTTCTTTACTTTCCTAATAAACTTGTTTCACTTCATTGTATGGACTTGCCCTAAATTCTTTCTTGCACAAGATTCAAGAACCCTCTCTGGGGGTCTGGATCAGGACCCCTTTTCCTGTAACACTACCACCCGATTAGGCATGTCCTGGGTGCTACATGAGGTGCGTTTGTCACAATAGCTGTTCAATTCTCTTCTGGACTAAAAAGGACATTTGAAGTTGGGCCGGAGCAGAAGTGCTCAGGCTTGACCAGGTGTGGACTGCATATGGCAGGCACAGGGACAGCTGAAAGGCAGTGTCCAGGGGAAGCCAGGATGGGGAGCCCAGGAGACAGCTGGGAGTGGGGATCAGCTGAAGGGCTGGATATGGAGGTGGCAGTTGGGTGGATGAACCTGGAGATACAGTAGTAAGTGGACTTGAGGAAAGTTCTAGAACAACTCCCAGAGCTGCAGGGGCACTGTGCAGGGTGTCTGCAGCCTGAACATGGAGTCCTTCTGAATGGAAGCTGCCCTTTGCTGCTCTGGGAGCCTTTGATTATGCCCAGAAGAACAGGAGGCTTTGGAAGCCTGCAGAGTAGGAAACTGGCTTCCCTACCCACCCTCTTGCCAGTAGGCTGCATGATCCTGGGAAGACGCTTCCCCTTTCCAATCCCAATTTTGTTCATTTGTTGGGATCCATTAACTGAGTGAGAGAGTCGGTGGTTGATTTCTGAGGTCTGCTTGAAAATTCTGCAAGCTGGAGGCTTCTCCTAAGGAGTTAATTGTTAATTCAAGTGTAAACTGAGGATGGCGTTAAGTGTGACCTCCTCCTGGGTTATTTGCATTTTATAATGCACTCCTAGGAGACCAAAATTCCTAGAAGATCCTAAAAGAATAGTGGTTTGGGTGTGTGGGGGTGGGGGGGAGAAAGAGAGGAGTGAAAGGGAGAGAGAGAGAGCACGAGTTCTTTGTTTAACACACTTTAAATCGACAGAGCAAGACTCTGTTTCAAAAAAAAAACCCAAAAAACCCACTTTAAATCTGAAATCTATCCCTACTATATGGAAAGGTGAAGATTTTCTGAATCATCTGGGATGCTCAGACCCTAGTAATACTCATGGTGGGATGTGCAGGAACTATTTTGAGTATTTTATTTAGCTACAGTAGTTCTGTATGAACTAACTGAAATGCCAGACGTCGAGTCAGTGTGATTTTTCACTTGATATTTGTTTGGAATTCTGGGGGTGGAAAGCAATAGATGGTGCAATAGATTAGGTAACACTAGGCTCTTTAG
Organism: Homo sapiens; assembly: GCF_000001405.40. Taxonomy (NCBI): domain Eukaryota; kingdom Metazoa; phylum Chordata; class Mammalia; order Primates; family Hominidae; genus Homo; species Homo sapiens. The sequence continues at coordinate 93,366,576 of NC_000015.10, forward strand.
TAATAAGAGGTCACCTCTCTGGCTAGATTTGGCTTTGGTTCTCTCATTTCCCATCTATTATCCTTGCAACAGGGTCCAACCAGTGCTCTCCAGAACATACGCTCCTTGGGGCTGAGACTTGTCTGGAGCTGTCATCTAGAGCCTGGAAGATAAGAGGTGCTCAATAATTGTGGCTGAAGTTTGCCATTATCAGCTCTGTCTTGTAGATAAGACAACTGGGACTCTGAGAAGTTCACCTGGCTGGACAGTGGCCAGTTCAGGTGGCTCCTGGGAGTGTTGGTCAGAAAGCTCAGGTTTCTCTCTGGCCTCCCAGGCAGGTGGTCTCGTAGTCTCAGGACAGGCTGAGTTTGCCCTTGGCTGCAGAGTTAGGGGCCTGAATAGGGGCGTTACTTTTCCTTCAGCTCTCAGGCTGCAGTCTGGCTGCCTGGCTGTCCAGTATTCTGGTCAGAGTCTGCTGGAATTGGTAGCCTTTTAGGAGAAAGTTTGTGAGACTGAAAGCAAACTACCTGCCTCTCATCCCAGCACCTCCCACCCTGCTTTCTCAGAAGTGAATAAATTGAGCTTGGCACTTCAAAGAAAACCACCGACAGTATGTGTTGGCAATGATAACATTCAAGCTTTAAAGCAAAAATTAGGATTTTGGGAAACATATTCATTATCATGAGCTTGACAGGTTCCCAGCACTTAAAGACATTTCTGATGAGATTGGTAGTGATACCAACAAATGTGATTTTTTTGATATTGTATAATGAAATATGTTAACATTTGGGTGACTTGTGTAACTGTGAACTAATATTTCCCAAATGACTAATGAATGATTCTACAAAATCATGCATGGGTAAAAGATCTATTCAAACTGGATGGTGGATTTTTAGGGAACAGTGAAAAGCTCTTCAATATAATTTTGGATTCCACATTGCAAATAACCTTTAAAAATTACCACTTACTGAGTTTTGGTGTAGTAGCAAAGAATATATCAAATTATCTGCAATTATTAAATAACTCTTCCATCTCCCAACTAAGTATCTTCATTTACTTCAACCAAAATAATATATTTCAACAGAACACAGAAGCAGATGCAAGAATTCAACTGTCTTAAGCCAAACATTCAAAAGAGTTGAAAAACTGAAAAATATTGCTTCTTTCTCATTAAGTTTTTGGAAATTATAATTTTTTTATAAAAAATGTTATTTGTGTTAACATGTAACGAGTTTAAAATTGTTACCTTTAGGCTGGGGGCGCGGTGGCTCACGCCTGTAATCCCAGCACTTTGGGAGGCCGAGGCAGGTGAATCATGAGGTCAGGAGATCAAGAGCATCCTGGCTAACACAGTGAAACCCCATCTCTACTAAAAATACAAAAAAATTAGGTGGGTGTGGTGGCGGGCACCTGTAGTCCCAGCTACTCAGGAGGCTGAGGCAGGAGAATGGTGTGAACCCAGGAGGCAGAGCTTGCAGTGAGCCGAGATGGCGCCACTGCCCTCTAGCCTGGGCGACAGAGTGAGACTCCGTCTCAAAACAAAACAAAACAAACAAAAACTTTCTCAGTTTTGTTTTCTAACATGGAAAATATTGGATATAATAAATGTAAGCAAAAGCTCTTTAGGATTCTAAGTTATTTTTAAGAGTATAAACAGTGCCCCACCCCCTGCCAAAAACTTTTGAATTGCTGATCTAAAATATACAAAGAACTCGTACAAAGCAACAAGAATAAGACAGCATCCCAACAGAAAAAAAAATGAGCAAAGGTTGCAAACAGGTAATTTACGAAAAGAATAAACAGGCATACAAAGAAAGAGTTGTTCAGATTATTAATCAGAGTGCAGATAAAAATGTGACACGTTACCTTATACCTACTAGGCTGGCAAAACGTAGAAAGCCAAATAATGACAAGTATGGTTGGGGTTTGAGGACAGAAAAACCCTCATGTACAGTTGGTAGGAGTGAGAAAAGTATAGTAGTGATTCTGAAAGCATTCTAATAGTAGTTATTTCAGTTAAATATGCACAGGCTTTTTTTTGTTTTTGTTTTTGTTTTTTTTGAGATGGAGTTTTGCTCTTGTTGCCCAGGCTGGAGTGCAATGGCACAATCTTGGCTCGCTGCAACCTCCGCCTCCTGGGTTCAAGAGATTCTCCTGCCTCAGCCTCCTGAGCAGGCATGCGCCACCACGCCCGGCTAATTTTGTATTTTTAGTAGAGACGGGGTTTCTCCACGTTGGTCAGGCTGGTCTCAAACTCCTGACCTCAGGTGATCTGCCCACCTCGGCCTCCCAAAGTGCTGGGATTACAGGTGTGAGCCACTGCGCCCGGCCTTGCATAGTTCTTACGACTTAGCAATTCCATGTTTGGGTATATGAACAAAATAAATTGTCATGCACAAGTCATTTGGTGTGTGTACAGATGTTTATTCTCCCTGCTTGCAGGGACAGGGATCTGAAGCCTCCTGGGAGCCCATCACTAGTGAGTGGATTGGGAACACGTAAATGAATGCTACCAGAGGTACCCACACCATGGATATATCCCAAAGAAAGTGCTACAAGAAATGAAAGAAACAAGCAGAAGCAATCTACAGCATGATATTGTTTATGTAAATTAAAATTACAGTCATACAAAGCAATTCATGTTTTGCAAGAATACAAATTATAGAATTTACATTGCATTGGTTTCCTAGGGCTGTTAGGAACTACCACTAATTGGGTGGCTTAAAACAAAATAAATTATTCTCTCATAGTTCTGGAGGCCTGAAGTCCAAAACTGAGGTGTCGACATGGTTGGTTCCTTCTGGGCCTCCGAGGAAGAATCTGTTCAATGCCTGTCTCGTAGCTTCTGATGGTGCTGGCAATTCTTGGTCTTCCTTGGCTTGTAGATGCATCACTCCCGTCTCTGCTTCTGTCTTCCTTCTCTGTGTGCCCATGCCTCTCTTTGCATTTACATTTCTGTCTTCTTATAGGGACACCAGTCACATTGGATTTAAGGCCTGCCCTACTCTAGCGTGACTTGACTTCAACTTGATTATATCTGCAAAGACTCTATTTCTCTGTTTCACAGGCTCTGGGTAGACATGAATTTTGGGGGAACACAATTCAGCTGGATACATAGAGCAAACATACGAGAATGGCTGGCCACATGGGGGAGGGAATGGGAATGTGAGATGGGATACACAGGCATAAACAAACAATGGCCAAGCAAGAGGTGGGCCTGGACAGAGCCGGCAGTGGTGTGTACACACTAAGAGCCACACAAGGAAACTTCTCCGTATCCATTTTGGCTCTAGATTCAGGAAAACAGAAGCAAGAAAATCAAAACAAAAAACAGTAATAAAAACAACAAAACCTCACCTGGCTCTTTTTTTTTTTTTTTTTTTTTTTTTTGGCGTTGTGGCACATGCCTGTAGTCCCAGCTACTCGGGAGGTTGAGACAGGAGAATTGCTTGAACCCAGGAGGCAGAGGTTGCAGTGAGTCGAGATCACGCCATTGCCCTCCAACTTGGGCAACAGAGCAAGACTCTGTCTCAAAAAAAAAAAAAAAAGAAAAAAAGAAAAGTCTCCTGAGGATTCTGACCCACAATCTGACTTTCACATGCGTTTGAGGATAGAATTTACACTACCCAAGAATTCCAAAAGATCCCAAGCAAAAACTGAGTTAAAAGGAGTAATGATTTGGCAATGCCTTCTGCCATTTTGCCAAAGTAATTACAAATCCTCTTTGAAGAAAAAATAACCTCTTAACTCAGGCTTCAAAGAACTTCTACAGCCCAAGTTCCTCAAAAGTCAAGAGAGGTAAAACAGAACTTAGAACTTCACACAAGTAGAGGAAGAATATGGAATAAGACAATCAAGGAAGGCAAACAGAGAAAAAGTAATATAAAAAAAGCAACTTATAGAAAGCACAAAGACTAAAATGGACTCAAATATATCGGCATTCAAAATAAATATAAGTGATTTAAACTTGCCAGTTGAGACAGGTTGTCAGAACAGATGAAAAAGAAACAGAACCCAGTAACATGCTTTTTACTTGAAACATGAGGACCCAGAAAGTTTTAAAACATATAAATGGAAAAAAGTTTTTAGCATGTAGACCGTGAGTGCTCATTTGTGAAGCTTTATTAATTTCAGGCAAAATATGCTTTAGGGCAAAAAAGTCTTACCAGAGTAAATGCAGAATATAAGATGGATTCAAATGAAAATGGATTAATGCTATTCATTAATTGCATTAATTAAATTTATTGCAATATTTGTAGAAAAGTTATTCAATATAATTTGGCATTTATTCATGAGTATTCTTAATAAACTAGAAGAGAGCTTTCTTAATCTGATGAAGGCACTTCTCAAAATAATCTACAACTAATCTCATACTTAATGATAAGCTATTAGAGACAATTTATTTTTATTTTTATTTTTTTGAGAAAGAGTCTGGCTCTGTTGCCCAGGCTGGAGTGCGGTGGCACAATCTTGACTCACTGCAACCTCCGCCTCCTGGGTTCAAGTGATTCTCCTGCCTTAGGCTCCCGAGTAGCTGGGATTACAGGCACCTGCCACCACGCCTGGCTAATTTTTGTGTTTTTAGTAAAGATGTGGCTTCACCGTGTTGGCCAGGCTGGTCTCGAACTCCTGACCTCAGGTGATCCTCCTGCCTCGGCCTCCCAAAGCGCCGGGGATAACAGGCGTGAGACACCACGCCCAGCCCAAGACAATTTAGGAACAAGACAATCATTCCTGCTCTAGCTGCGTCTTTTAAACTTTGTACAGTAATGCTAGATAAAGTAGCAAATTAAAGTAGTATAAGGATTGTCATCATTTGGACATGAATATACAGAAAACCTCAAAGATCTATAGGCAAATTTTAAGATTAATAATTTATACTGATATAAAATGAATACACAAAACAAAATTGCATTTCTAGGCCAGCATTTGAATATGTGATTTCAAAAGACATAATTTAAAATAACAAATACAAGTAAAGTGCTTTGGAAATCTAAAATGTTCAAGACTTTTACAGATAGAACATATTCAACTTTATTTAGGTCTTTAAAAAACTTAAAAGAAGCACAACGTTTATAGATATGATGTCTGGATGTCATAAAGGGATTAACATTCTCCAAACTGATTTATAGAAATTCCAATTGGACTCTCCTTTAGATGACCACAGACTGGTTCTGAAATTTCTATGGAAGATCAAGGGGCCGAGTATACCCAGGGCATTCCTGAAGAAGAAAACCCAGGAGGATGTTTGCCTGATACAAAGATTTAACATGAAGCTACAGTTATTAATTAATATATCGAGAGTCCTCTTGGGCAGGACCTTCCACCAGGTCTTCCCTGAAAAAGCCGCTTACCTTTCCCTGACCACCTGCGGCAGCAACTTGCTTTCAATGCTCTGCCAGCAGGCAGGGAGCATCATCTACAGCTGCTCGCCCTTGGCTGTTCCCAGGTGGGAGTAAGATGCCAATCCAATCCCATGGATGCTGCGACCCTCAAATGCTGTGTTAATACTTTTGATGTTGCTTCACCGGCTCGAGGTGAAGGGACAGACACCGCAGTCCCCCCTCCTATGGAGATGGGTGGGAACCTCTACAGCCAGCTCCGTGCCTCCAGGGAAGTTGATGGTGACCAGTCCATGTGGGCAGAAGCTGCTTGGTGGCCCCTGGAAGGAGAACCTACCATGTGATTTAATGGGGGCACATGGCACCTACTGTTGTCCCCAGCCTCTGGGACTGCTGCCAGAAAAAACTGAAATGCTGAGACAAAGGCTCACGTTTAATATCCTGCTGCGGTGATTTCTAAAATAGGGTTGTGACAAATGGGACCCGATCAGTTCTCACGGACTCTGTGCCCATCTGTTTTGGTTTCCTTTGTGTGTTTGCTCAGTCAGAACAAGTATTTATCAGCTGAGGTGATGAAAGGCATTGAAGCATGGAATTATCGGTGTGTGCTGGGCTCCTCTTCACATGAGGGTGATTTGTCCCTACGTCAAAAGAAGAGGTGTTGGGGCAGAGGGCTTAAAATCTGACGGACATTGATTGGAACTTTGGCTCTAAGTAACTCTGTGGTGGAACCCGTGTTGCTTTCCTTCTCGGAGCCTCAGTTTCATTGTAAAAGGAGGAGGAGGGTGCCTCCAGGCTGGGATGTGTCCACAGCAGAGGGCCCAGGTTGTTGCTCAATACACGATCGTCCCTTCCCTCCTCAAAGCCTTGAATAGAGCAAGCAGGTGTCTGTGTAACCACATTTTTCTTCTATACCTTAGAGACTCCAAATAAATAGCATCAGATAATAATCATGTTAACAGGAGGCCTATTACCCCATTAAAGTTGTAAAGCGAGTTTCTCCCATCGTTTTAGACCATGTCCGCCCACACACACACATTCTGTGGCGTGAAATCCCGATGCCTCCACCTTCCCCTTCCCTGTTTGTGGGCTGTTTCTCTTGGCAGCAGCCTGGAATCCAGGCCTTCTATGGCTGAAGTGATTGCTACCCCTTTCTGTGTGTGAGAGCAAGAGAAGCGGGTGGAGGGAAGGGACAGGAGCTCGGGAAGAGGTGATTAACACATATCCCCCTGGCGGGTCATGCTGCTTTCATGGGCATCCTAATCCCGTTTCCTCTCCTAAGCAGAAGGCACTGGGATTGATTTAACAGATTTTTTGTTGTTACTGTTATTTAGGGCTCTCTTTTGGTGGGTATGATACCATAATATCTTGGGGGTATTTAAGCCTTAAGCAGCACCTACCTGATCACCCTTGCTTGACCCCCTTCCCAGTCTCAGACATTTCTCATAATCAGTCACCTTGGTTGGAACTCAGGCTGGTGTCTCCGGATTCAGACCTTTGATCTCGCTGTGTAAGGGATGGAGGGCTTGGTGGTGGTGAGGCAGGGAGTGGCAATTGGAGTCGAAGGTGTCCCTGAGATTCTGATCCCATTTTTCCTTTCCTCTTCCACTTAGGAACATCTGTCCAGTCCCTGGGATGGTGAGGCTATAACCACAAAGGAATAAGAGAAGACGACTAGTTTTGTAATGGGTAAATGATATTTATTTTTATTTTTTAAATTAATTTTTTTACTTCAGTACGTTTTTGGGGAACAGGTGGTATTTGGTTACATGAATAAGTTATTTAGCAGTGATGTCTGAGATTTTGATGTACCCGCCCATCACCCAAGCAGTGTACACAGTACCCAATGTGTAGTCTTTTATCCCTCACCACCCCCCGACCCTTCCTTTGAGTCCCCAGAGTCTAATGTGTCATTCTTACTCCTTTGGGTCCTCATAGATTAGCTCTGACATATAAGTGAGAACACACGATGTTTGGTTTTCCATTCCTGGTTCTATCACTTAGAATAATGGTCTCCAATTCCATCCAGGTTGCTGTGAATGCCATTATTTGAAATTTGTCTGGTAGGCTGGGAGGTAAAGTAGTGTGGCAAGGCAGAGAGTGAGGAACAGGCTCGCAGCATGCTCCTGACCCAGCATGTTCCCAAAGGTGGCAGTTGTCAGTTACATTCCCACGTTGGCCAGGGTTCAAGGGCCCAGAGCAGGGTACTTTTAAGAGAGGCTGGTATTAATATTTGACCAGAAGTTGTCTGTGGTATAAACAGTGCCTTCATCCCAACTTCATTCTTCAATTACCTTTTTAAAAATTGTATTATTTATTTAGAGACGGGCTTATAAGACTGGCTCATTTTTGTATTTTTGGTAGAGCTGGGGTTTTTCCATGTTGCCCAGGCTGGTCTAGAACTCCTGGCCTCCCAGAGCGCTGGGATTACAGGAGTGAATAACTGCACTCTGCCTTTAATTACCTTTCTTCCACGCACAGAGGCTTTGGATGAGGTTGTATGCATGTGTGTAAACTAGAGAAAGATTTCAAGCAAATACATAATACAGGAATGTTGTAACCCAACAGGCGCTTTCCATTCATTCATTCATTCATTCATAAAGCCTCATCAAACATTTATTATGCGTTCCAGGATACAGTGGCAAAAATAATGAACACATCTGTTACCTGGGGCTTACTTGTCATTATTGGACATTAATCAAATAATTGCACAGATAAACATATAATTTCATAGTGTGCTCAGTGCCGTGAAGGAGAGCACAGTGACATGAAAGAGGATATTATAGGGGATGAGGGGCTTTCCTGAGAAAGTGACATCTGAGCCAGGAATTGAAAGATGAGTAGAGGATAAGGAGGCAGAGGCAGGATGGGGTTGGGGGCTGAGACTGGGGTAGGAAAAAGCCAGTCCAGATGATAGAATGGTAGAATGAAATGTTTTAGGGCATCCTAGTGGAGGTGAGTGGAGTTTTGGGGGGCACTGCCGCAAACCCCCTGTGTATCATAGATGTCAAGAATATGAGGATAGGCAGGTTCCCCTAGATCCAGTACTTCCAGCAAATGACCGTCTAATTGGTAGCTAGGCTTATGGAAAGAACCCTCCTTTCCAATTGTTTTTATACTTCTTTGTTCTGCGGACAAAAGCATTTTTGATGTTATGTGAAAATGTGGGTTTCAAGTGTGGCGATTTCATGAAAGTATAGGTTGACTTGCTCTGCCTGGAATAATGATTGGAAGAATGGCAAGTGGGGTCAGGAAGGAGGTTGAGGAGTGAAGATGGAGGGATCAGGAATGGAAAGAAGAGAGGATACTCCCTAAGCAAGGCTGGGATTTTTGCGGGAGGCGGGGGCGTTAAGCAAAGCTAGGTATGAAATCTGAGGCATGAGCCACCATCGTGATTGCAGTGGAATGAGGTTGCTCCCGTGACCAGTCAGGAAGGATCACATCGCCCCAAGGCTGGGGATGAGGGGAACAGGGAGCCTCTCCAGTTTGGAAGTTAAACATCACAATTCACTACTGTGACTAAGCTACGCATCAATTTGCTGGATATGGCTTCTGCCTCAGATTCTTCAAGCCCCACACAGGCTGCTGGTTTCTCCAGTCTTCCAAGCTGACCCTGAGTGTTACAATTCAGACAACTCAACATGGAAAGAACATACCTGAGGCTGAGGGGCTCGGCTACTCTCCCATAACGGCGAAAGGGAATTCTGGGAAAGCACTGGGCTTGGGGTCAGAGGGCGTGCACTCACCGCCACTACTAATTTATTGACCTCACAAAAACATTTACTGATTATAATGATAACCATAATGTTTATAGTTTACATAGGATTAAATTATGAACTTTTACATGCCAGGAATTGCATGAAGTGTGTTACCTCCAACAGGGTTCAAATATTCCCATTTCACTCATGGGAAAGAACATTACTAAGTGCAATGTGTTGAATAGTGTCCCCAGAAAGATCTGTCCAAGTCTTAAACCCTAGTTCCTGTGAGTGTGGCTTTATTTGGAAATAGGGTCTTTATACGTATAATTAAGTTGAGAATCTCCAGATGAAGTCCTCCTGGATTTAGGGTGGGCTTTTCTTTACAGGGAAGGAGAGGGAGGTCTGACACAAAGACACGCAGAGAAGGCAGCCATGTGAAGACAAGGCAAAGATTGGAGTTCCTTAGCAAGAAACCAAGGAACACCCACGGTTGGCAGAAGCCACCAAAACCCAGGAGAGAGGCGTGGGAGAGACTCTCCTGTAGAGCCTCCAGTGGGAACCAACCCTGCCGCACCTTGACTTCAGACTTCTGGTCTCCAGAATTGTGACGGAATAAATTTCTGTTGTTTTGAGCCACATAGATTGTGGTAATATGTTATAGTAGTCCTAGGAAGCTCATACACTTTCTCAAGGACATCTAGACAGTAAAAAGTAAGCCAGGATTTAAACCCAGATTTGCAAACTTCAGGTCCCTATCAAATATGCCATAGGAAGTCTTTGGCTCATTTCCTTAACAGAAAAATGGGAGGGTTAAATTCTATGACCTGAGGTCCCTTTGAATGCTGTGTCTGTGGATTCAAGGGCCAATCCAAAAGTGAGATCTGAAGGTGAGATTCAGTCTTGTACCTGAGGAGGCAGGTTTGACCACCACTGGGCTCCAAGGACCTCATGTCTGAGAATTCCCTGGTGATACTGACTCAATGTCTCCATTCATGTGTTGCAGGAGACCAAGATGAGATAGAAATAAAAAGAGAGATAAGAATAAAATCTAATAAAATCTAATGCCTGGGTCCAAAAAACCATTTACCCAAATGCCAAATTGGAAGGACCCAACAATGTGATAGAGAACACATTCAAATGAGCACACTGCGGGATGGGACTGCCTCGGGCCAGGCAGTGTTTGCAGATACAGGTGCTCAAAGCAGGGGTGGGAGAGTTCTCTGTTATATTCTGCTCATGCCACACCCAGTGCCTTGGCGGGTGGGACGCAGGGTAGCAAATTCCTTAAAGAGGGCCAAGGATGGCCAAAGCCCTTTGAGATGGGAGAAAACACCTATGAGTGAAAGACATGGCTGATGTATCAAAGAAAGGTCACATACATTGGGATCCCATTTCACCAACAAACCAATTCTACAGAGGGAGGGGCCACAGGAAGATGGTCTAAGGAAGGGATTTGTAATGATCAGAGCTGTCTAGAAGTGAAGGACCTATCGTTGGTCAGTAAAGCATTCCTTATTATTGGACATGAACCAAAACCATCTTGGGGACCATTTGGTAGAGCTGTGGTAGTAGGTTTTGGAACATCAGATGAGATGCTGGATGGGATAGTTTTATATTTCCTATCAACTCGGAGATGGCAGGGATTCTAGCTCTGGTATTTCAATGCCTTCTCCCCTTTCTGGACTGCCTGCCCCTCTGTAGTTTTTGTGGGATGGTTTTGGCCAGATCCTTTTGAAGGACCTGAGGTTCATTCAGAAGAGTCACTGAGGGTAATCTGTGTTGGGATGTGATGCTCCAGAGATTGGGGCAAAATATGTGCCTGAAAGAGCCGGAATTAGTGTCATCTAAGGGCTAAGCTCAAGTCCTGGGAGCAAGGTGTGGCCCTTCATAGGAGAAGGGGACAAAAGGTCGGAAGCCATAAAGGAGGAGCCAGGAAGAAAATGGAATATAAAGTGGGTAAAAATGAATGACTTGGGAAAGTGGAGAAAGGGAGGGGGTGACACACACACACACACACACACACACACACACACGAAAGAGAGAGAGAGAGAGAGAGAGAGAGAGAGAGAGAGAGAGATGGGCTCTGAACAGAGCCTCTCCCCAGCAGTGGGGGCAGCCCATAGCTACTCTGTTCTTGGGCAGTGGTCTCTGGACAGCAGAATGCACGTGGATGTTGGAGTTGCCAGATCTAACCCATCGGGAGTGTGGGCCAGTTTGGAAGGTTTCCTGTCTTGCTTAGGGAGGTCACTCGAGGAAAGTCCAGAGTATTTCTAGATAATCTAGTGGTGAATTTGAGAGGATAACAGAAGGACCAGGGAGTTCAGTTAGAAAGACAAGACTGTGGGCCGGTCCCATTTTCCATAAGAGCAAATCTTCCCAGGGAGCTTAAGGACCTCCCCCTGCCGGGTGCTGGGCTGAGCGTCTCCTGCACTTTGACACGTTAGTGGTAGCAACAACTTTGTGTGATGGCAGCTGTTTATTGTTTTAATTTTACAATTGATGAAAATGATCGTTAAAGCCATTCAGTTGCTAAGTGGCTAAGTTGGCCGTCAAGCCTGGATGGGCCCTACCTTGAGGCTGGTGCCTCACCACTCCTCGGGCCTGAGGTGCTCAGGCCACAGGTTGTTAATGTTGGAAAAGACACCAGAGATTCTCTCCCGCAACCTGTTCTTTTTTTTTTTTTTTTTTTGAGACAGAGTCTCGCTCTGTCGCCCAGGCTGGAGTGCAGAGGCGCGATCTCGGCTCACTGCAAGCTCCGCCTCCCGGGTTCACACCATTCTCCTGCCTCAGCCTCCCGAGTAGCTGGGACTACAGGCACCCGCCACGACGCCTGGCTAATCTTTTGTAGTTTTAGTAGAGACGGGTTTGACCGTGCTAGCCAGGATGGTCTCGATCTCCTGACTTCGTGATCCACCCGCCTCGGCCTCCCAAAGTGCTGGGATTACAGGCATGAGCCACCGTGCCCGGCCCGCAACCTGTTCTTTTTACGAAGGAGAGAACCGTGGCCTACAGAGGGGAGGACGTGGCTTTTCTCAAAGTTTTATGTTTGGAACAAGCTTCCGAGCTGGGGTTGGAAAGCCGGGAATCCTGCCCTGGGTCTCCGGCTCTTTGTCTTGTTTTGGTGCTGAGGGAGCCTGGCTTCTTGCCCTGGTTCCATCACTGACAGCTGAGCAAACCTCAGGCTCTCCTTTTCCTTGATGGTAAATTAAAGTCCTCCAGCTTGACTCACTCCTGGGCTCAGGTGGTGTTATTATCAGGATTAATTACATGGCTAGAGAGAGGGCTGAGCCTTTCCTGGGGAAACAAGGCCACTTAAAAGACACTATTATGTTTTAACTGCCCTGATACATTTGTAACCAAGACTTCTTAGAATGATATTAAAATATAAATAGAGAAAGGATCCAAAATTTAAACTGCAATTTTTCCTGCCATTTCCTGGTCAGCATAAGGAATATTGAGTTTTCTATCTAAGTGCCCATATAAGATATGAAATACCTGGGTAACGGGAGCAATTTGCTGCTTAAATTGGAACCTTGCAAATCAATTATCAGGAACTAGAGCATGCATTTTCTCCTAAGCCAAAAAAAATTATTCTTCAAAATGACATTTGGCTGCTCACTGCATGTCATAATCAAACGAGGAGTGAGGTCTAATGCAGTAGCTCCACATCTAGGTGAAAAGGGAAAAAGAAATTATCCCCAAAACTGCAAATCTTCTAAGATACGTGATCCTATATTTTCAAGACTGAAGCAAGCCTTAGGAATTTAAAGAGTTTAAGAAAGTAAAATTTGATTCAAATTCACTTCTTTACCGAAACTTGCAAAGCAAAAATCCCCAGTTTCTCTGGGTGGCATTTTATTGCCTGGCTATAGGTCTAGACAGGCCTAGAGCCAGGGGTGCAGGGTGTGGGTGGGGGAAGGGCAGTATTTCATAGTATAGCAGTGGAAAAGGAGCTTAGAGGTTCTTTGGTATGGCGATTCTCAATCCTGGCTGCTCAGTGGAATTGCCTGGGATGCTTTTAAAAACCATGGCTAGGGCTGGGCATGGTGGCTCATGCCTATAATCCCCAGCACTTTTGGGGGGACTGAGGCAGGCGGATCACCTGAGGTCGAGAGTTCGAGGCCAGCCTGACCAACATGGAGAAACTCCGTCTCTACTAAAAACACACAAATTAGCCAGGCGTGGTGGTGCATGCCTGTAATCCCCGCTACTCGGGAGGCTGAGGGGGGAGAATCATTTGAACCCAGGAGGCAGAGGTTGTGGTGAGCCGAGATCACACCATTGCACTCCAGCTTGGGCAATAAGACTGAAATTCCGTCTCAAAAAAACAAACAAAAAACCATGGCTGGCCAGGTGCAGTGGTTCACACCTGTAATCCCAGCATTTTGGGACACCGAGGCAGGCAGATTGCTTGAGCCCAGGGGTCTGAGTCCAGCCTGGGCAACATGGTGAAACCCCATCTCTACAAAAACTACAGATATTAGCCAGGTGTGGTGGTGCACGCCTGTAGTCCCAGCTACTTGGGAGGCTGAGGTGGGAGGATCAATTAAGCTCAGGAGGCAGAGGTTGCACTGAGCCAAGATCCCACCAGCGCACTCCAGCCTGGGCAACAGAGCGAGACTCTCAAAACAACAACAACAAAACCGTGGCTAGCTGGGTTCTACCCCTAGAGATTCTGATTCAATTGATCCAGGTTGTTGGAGCTCAGCTACTGTGTTACTTAAAAGATTTCCCAGGTGACTGTAATGTGCAGCCAGGGTTGAACCTAAGCTTCTCACAGGAGTGCTGTGAGAATTAAGTGAGATAAATGAAGAAAGCACACCCAGAGCAGTACCTGGAACCCAGGTGCTTAAGCATGGTGGCTTCCCTCCGGCCTCTGGGTTCCTCCATCTCTCCCTGCCCCACCGTCTCCACACCTTCTACCTCCCTCCACCCCATCATTGCCATTCCCTGCCCACCGTCACCCCACCCCTGTTCCTGATGAGTTAATATAAGCAAAATCCTTTTCAAATCCCATCTAAGTGCCTGTTGTTATGATCGTGTGTGTGCGTGCACTTGTACATGTGTGTGCGTGTGCACGGGCATGGCGGGTTCCATCCTCTCTTCAGAGGCAGGCAATTGGGTGGGAGGAGTGGATCTATGACTTCTGGCAGAGTGTAGGGAGCTTTCCATTTGCTCACGAGGGTTCCTCCTTGGAGCATTCATTGTCATTGTAATTCAGGTGTGCAGACTGCCAGTTCAGACTGTCCTAGGCTGGAGACAGGTGGCTGAGTCAAGGGAAGCATTGCGTGTTCCGGTGGCCTGGGGGCTCCCCTTGGGGGTGAAAAAGGGAGGGCGATTCCAGGTCTGCAAGAAGTGGTGGGCAGCCCAGAGCATCCTGTTTGTTGGAGTCAGGGCAGAGCAGGCTTACAGTCAGCTGGCCCCCAAGTGCTTTCTCTTGCAACCCTGAAGCCCTTGTGTCTTGCAGCTACTGCATATTTAGGTGTACAGGGGTGAAGAGGCGCACATTGGAGTGTTCTTTTCCAGCATGCATTTGGGCTCCTTCATTTGTGAGAGGACCACAAAGGAAGCCCACCTGAGCCAGAGTTTGAGAAAGTCCGTTTCATCATGGCTGACCTTAAGAAGCGGAAGTAGAGTACACAAGTGCTCAGGGTCATTATCATATGCATCATCTTAAACATTTATCTTTCTGTGTGTGTGTGTTGAGGTCATTTAATATCCTCCTTCTAGCTATTTGAAACCATATATCATTGGTAACTATAGTCATCTTACAGTGATATAGAACATTAGAACTTATTCCTCCTATTTAGTTGTAATTGTGTATCCCTTATATGTATAATCTATACAATTATATGTATAGAAACATCACAATGCACTCCACAAATATGCACAATTACTCATCCATTTAACAAATAATTTTATTCTTACCAAAAGAAGCAGCAGAAGTGTGCAAAGCAAATATTTGCCCCTTCATGGATTGTTTCAAATCCTTTGGCAGATTGGATGTGGGTTATTGTTAGGGCTGTAATGAGGAATCAGTGTCTCAGCTGGCAGCAGCAGGGATCCGAGGAGACCTTAATCTACCTCTTCAAACCCCTGAAGAACTTCCCTAAGCATCTGGCTGACCTCAGACCAGCACTCCAATGCCCTTCTCTTCAGGAACCAGTGGAAGGACCCTTCTTGGAATTGCTAATTTCTCTCCTTCATTATAACTCATGCTATACATATTTATTTGGTGGTTTGCTTGTCTTTATTGTTAAGGAGTGGCTTTAGCTGTACCTTTATTTTTTTTTTTTGAAATTGAGGAAGATTTGAGAAACCAAGTAACCTTGGAAGTCTGCTGGAATGAGCTTAACTTTTTATTTAAGATGAGCTTTAATTGACCATAGAAGTGAAAAGTTCTTACCAAAGACGGATATTGGAAAGACATACATCAATGCTTTTATTTCCTTATTACTATTTGTATTAGAATTAAACTCTTTCAAATGAAGAGTCTGGGTGTAAAAGAAAAATTATGGGCCACTTCTGAGATTAACACCCCTAATATGGTACCTCTAGACATAGTGAGAGCTTTTCATCAATATTTTGCCAGTATAAGTCTGCTGCCCTCCGGGATGAAATTGCCCAGGCTGGGAGAGTAATTTGATCTCGGAGTGACTTTAATCAATGTGCTTCTGTTAAGCAAATATTTCCAATTTTTCAGCAGTTTGTTTGCTGTGTAAATTTCCTTTCTCTGCCAATATGCTGAGCTGGCACCATTAATTTCCACAGGTGGGACAAGGCTGTTGGCTTCCCTGGGTTACTTTTCAGCATGCTGGGAGCTGGAAGGATAGAATTTCACGAGCCATTGCAGCCAGCTGCCGAGCACCTGGGGCAACGTTTGCAGCAACCCAGGGACCACCCTCTAACACCAAGTGCCCCCCACGTTGCTGAGGAAGGTCCAGTTGTCTGAGGTTTACTTTGGACACATTTTTAATCATCGTGGTTGGCACAGACAGGAAGGCTGAGCCAGAACGAAATATCTGGGAGCCACAGATATTCCAGCTGGGGTGAAACTTTCTGGAGTGACCTCCGCCAAAGACTACTGGTGGCAGCTGCAATGACCCACACTCTGCTCCTAAAGCAGTACCTTAGGAGAGAGAAGATTAAGAGATTCCATGCCCTGTGTCTCTTTCTGGGTCACTCAAAGGGATGTGAGGTGTTCTTTCAAGTTACAGCAACTGAATGCATAAAAATTGCTCAAGGGGAAGCATCTTCTTAATGCGTTTTTGTCCACTCTCCCTTTAGCCCTCAGCAGACAGAAAAATCCCTTTTAAATGTATTTCTAAACTTATGTTGTAAGGAGGCAAATGAGAAGCAAAGCTGAAATTCCAGAGGGAACAGAACACAAAAGCGCTTGTGCACGTGTACCCTCACCTTGCACACCTACACCCCAGAGGCCAGCCTGGCCCAATGGGCTCTGTTTATTCAGTGTTGTCTTTTCCTGATAATTCTGCTGATGACAGGGAAGCAACCCTTCTTCTTCTTCAGTCTGCAATATTTCACCCTCCAATTACTCTTTCAAATTTTGTTTTCAAGTCTCTGCCCAAATGCTGGACTTAGGGAGCCCAAGGCTCTCATTTTTGTATTTCTCTTATGACACTTGACATTGGCTGCCTTGTCCCACTGCCTACGCGAGCTCTTTTGAAGACAAGGACTCTTATTGGAGCTGAGTCCTGACTCCCCACTCAGTGTCAGGCATGTGGAGGCAAAGTGCTTCCTCTGTGGCTCTGGGTAAGAGCTCTGACCATGCTGGGCTCCAGCAGGTTGGCCCTGCAGCTGGTTTGTGTGTAAGCTGATGGCTGATTGGGCACCGTCAATGTGCAAGCCACATTTCTAATCAACTTCTATAGAAAACACTGGAGACAGAAGGGCATAATAGCTATAATATATCTTGGTCTTTTGACGAGAAGGAATCGCCAATACGTGGGGTGAGAATTTTTCCTTCATGACGAATGACGGCAACCTCTTCTGAGTGCCGTCTCTGTGCCAAGTATGGTGTTCAGTGCTTTCAAGAATGTTCTCTGGCTGGGTGTGGTGGCTCATGCCTGTAATCCCAGCACTTTGGGAGGCTGAGGTGGGCGGATCAGGAGATCAACACCATCCTGGCTAACACGGTGAAACCCTGTCTCTATTAAAAATACAAAAAAAAAAAAAAAATTAGCCGGCCGTGGTGGCGGGCGCCTGTAGTCCCAGCTACTCGGGAGGCTGAGGCAGGAGAATGGCATGAACCCGGGAGGTGGAGCTTGCAGAGAGCCGAGATTGCACCACTGCACTCCAGCCTGGGCAACAGAGTGACACTCCCTCTCAAAAAAAAAAAAAAAAAAAAAAAAGTTCTCTGATTTGATTTTTGCAACAAATGGAAAGAGACACACTTCCATGATGAGCAAACAGTTTAGAGATACATTTCTAAAGCTAGACCCAGAATTGGTGAAGTCAAGGCTACCTAGCTTCAAGGCCCTTGCTATCCTGGGTTCTAATCCTAAAACTTTTCTTTGTCCAAAATTTGGGTCCCAAGTTATGTGAAAGCTTGAGATAAAGACCAAAGTTTCATTGCTGGTCTGATAATTTTTCATATGTAAGATCTGGTTTAGAGTTTTGTGCCTAGATTGGAGTGCATTCCAACCTGGTTTCCTGGTTATCTTTTTAACTCTGGCCTACAGTGAATTAAACCTTCCACCAACTAAGTTAAGACCAAGTGTGCTGAGACTGTCATTTCTGTTGGACATACCAATAAGTATTCAGAGGTTGTTTTTTATGATAGGCAATGGAGAAAAATAACTTTCTATTTTTCATAAGCTGATGTTTTCCCTGGTAAGAGTTCTTTCATGATTTTGCTGCTATAGAAGAATGAGCCATTTCCAATTGGATAGACACAGTGATGGATTAGTGTTTTGTCCTCTAAATCCAGAAAAAAACTTCTGATTTCCAAATTGCCAAAGCAGTGCTTATATTTGGTTCTTTGAATGATTGGTTGGCATCAATTAACAATAGGTAAATGTTCCTGACACATAAAAGTCGCCAGCTATATGATAAACCACACAGTAGCAGCTTCAAAGAGTTTGCCTTTGGAAAGGTGTTTTTAAATAAAACAAGTCCAAGAAACATGAAACAGCAAATTCATATTCACACACTGGCAGGCACTGCAGTTAATATGAGAGAATGTATTACTTTCTGGTAGCAATAAAGAGGTCTTGATTAGTAAAGTAGGACTTTATTGGAAAGTATGTGGTTCTTAAAACCCCTCACACTTCCAGGGTTATATACCATAAACAGGACTTTTAGATAGGAGGATCATCTGAGAACACATATTTAATTTCTTCCCCTCCCTAATTTCCACTGGGAAGAAAACCAGAGCCTGCTCCAGTGCTATAGCGTGACACCTGCATTCTGGAAATGTTGAGGAATCTCTGCAGGATTGGTACTGCTGGATGGAGGAGGAGTTTGCCTGGGCTTCCCTTTGTGTGAATGAACAGCTTGCTTGGGAGGTGAGTGGGAGGGATCTCAAGAAACATTGCTAGTACAGGGCTGCAATCTCATATCTGAGATTCCAAAATGTGAGTAGATTTGAAAACGCATAGCTTTTGCTGTCCATCAAAATTGGCACCAAAACTGATTTTGGCCACAAAATGTAACCTGAATAACCTGAACTGTGATGGATCATAGTCATGACTCTGTGAACACAGGAAAAAAAAATTCAGTGGATTAAATGGTGAAAAGTGTGATGGATTAATTTCTGTCCTGGACAATACACATTTACCTGTAAATAAGGGATGATGGCTGTTTACTCAGTTAGGGACTATTTAGAAACACATGATTAGTGAGAGCAAGGACACAGGAAGAGTTTTAAAAATCATTCGTGGTGCTGCTTCTTCACCTGAGCACGTGCTCCCAGCCCAGCATCCATGTCCAACGCTAGCCTGCTCATGACAAGAACCCCGGATGACACCAATGCTTCGTCAGACGCAGAGGTGGAAGCACTTAGCCTAGTTTGATTCAACGTGAGCTTGAGGTTATAATGAATGATGCCTTAAAGAAAGAATTAGAGCAGGCCGGGCGCGGTGGCTCACGCCTGTAATCCCAGCACTTTGGGAGGCCGAGGCGGGCGGATGACGAGGTCAGGAGATCGAGACCATCCTGGCTAACACGGTGAAACCCGGTCTCTACTAAAAATACAAAAAGAAATTAGCCGGGCGTGGTGGCGGGCACCTGTAGTCCCAGCTACTGCGGAGGCTGAGGCAGGAGAATGGTGTGAACCCGGGAGGCGGAGCTTGCAGTGAGCCGAGATGGCGCCACTGCACTCCAGCCTGGGCGACAGAGCGAGACTCCGTCTCAAAACAAAACAAAAAAATAGTATTTATGGTCTATATCACATTATTTCACCAACCAGTTTATTTATTTATTTTATTTTTTGAGACAGAGTCTTGCTCTGTCGCCCAGGCTGGGGTGTAGTGGTGCGATCTCGGCTCCTTGAAACCTCTGCTTCCCGAGTTCAAGCGATTCTCCTGCCTCAGCCTCCTGAGCAGCTGGGATTATAGGCGCCTGCCACCATGTCCGGCTAATTATTTTTATTTTATTTTATTTTTTATTGAGATGGAGTCTCGCTCTGTTGCCCAGGCTGGAGTGCAGTGGCATGATCTTGGCTCACTGCAGCCTCCGCCTCCTGGGTTCAAACAATTCTCTGCCTCAGCCTCCTGAGTACCTGGGATTACAGGCACCTGCCACCAGGCCTGGCTATTTTTTGTATTTTTAGTAGAGACGGGGTTTCACCATGTTGGCCAGGCTAGTCTTGAACTCTTGACCTCGTGATCCACCTGCCTCGGCCTCCCAAAGTGCTGGGATTACAGGCGTGAGCCACTGCGCCCGGCCAATTTTTGTATTTTTATTAGTGACGATGTTTCACCTTGTTGGTCAGGCTGGTCTCGCACTTCTGACCTCAGGTGATCCACCCACCTCGGCCTCCTAAAGTGTTGAGATTACAGGCATGAGCCACCATGCCCGGTGTCACCAAACAGTTTATAACAATATACATTAACTATGGAAAAACTCTAATAGGATTTATATGATTTTATACACTTTATCTCACTCACTGGAACTCTCCCTATATTTGCAGAATGTTTTCTTGATTTTACGAAGTTGTCTGAAACCTTCTTGGGATGTCCGTGAGTGCGTATGGTGGGCTGTGTAGATAGTCTGCCCAGAGCCCTGGGGTCTGTTTTTAGAATTTTGTTTTCATGGGCTTTCACTTTCCAGGGCCAGTTCTTGAGACCTGAGGCCCTTTCTGGGAGGACTGCCCTCAAGGCGGCTAGTGTAGACTTTGTGCCTGAATCATTGGAAGTGCTGTAACTATAGTACCTGAGAACGTACGCCTTACCTTTCCCCCCAGCCCTTAACTAATGACTGAATGGATGCTCCAGTTTCCTGGCCTCAGGTGACACATCTTGGAAGTGTAACTTACACTCCACAGTAGCTCTCCAAGATGCTTTCCTGTTATCACAGTTGTCCTTCTCCTGTGTCTACCTTTCTATGTTCTGAGTTCTGAAACACAGCTGGCCCCAAAGGACACAGAAAAGGAATTGAAGACCTGTGTCCTCTTCCTTGGTGGGGCTAGGGCTGGCAGAGAGGATAGGCCACAGAGCCTTGGCAGACTCTTCTCCATCCCACCCTCTCCTCCTGGAAGTTCACCAGGCATTGCAGGCTGCATGAGCCCCTAGAGGCATGTGTTCCTGCCAGTCCTGGGTGTCAGTGGCCAACAGAGCGCATGGCTGACTCCTACTGAGAACAGCTTTTCTAGACAATGAGTGGGTGCTATGGCCTGAGTGATGCCTAATTGCTGGCCAGAATACAGACAGGAATTTCTAGGACATGCTGATGAAGCTCCTTGAAGCTGCAATAGCTGTTGGTCCTAGGCAACCAACAGCAAGAAATTACTTTTCAAAGAGCAAAGTAATACCACACTTTATTCAAATATGTGCCCTCTTTTCTTAATTTGGGCCAGACTGATATGACCAGAGGCTTTTATGTTCTTAGGCAGAAATCATCTCAAATGCCAGTGATGGATAAGCAAATTCCTTTCTCTATAAATTGAGAAAAAGGAGAAAATCATTACTGAACATATTTTAAAAAATGCTTTGCACTGAAGAATTACAGTAAATGATTACTCTTGTGTCTTAGTCTGTTCAGACTGCTATAACAAAATACCATAGACCTGGTGGCTTATAAGCAATGGAAATTTATTTTTCACAGTTCTGGAGGCCGGAAGTCCAAGATCAGGCTGCCAGCATGGTCAGGTTTTGCGGAGGGCCCTCTTCCAGATGGGAAGATGATGACTTACTCATCTATCCTCACATCATGGAAGCAGGGAACTTTGGTCGCTTTAGCCCCTTATGGGGAACTACTATGGGGCACGATCTCATTCATGAGGGCTGTGCTGTCATGATCTGATCATCTCCCAAAGTCCCCACCTCCTATGACAATGAGGATTAGGTTTCAACATATACATTTTTGGAGTACACAAACATTCAGACCATAGCATATTGTTAATAAAAGTTGCAGAAAAGAACATTGAGAAACATGGACTAGATATGCAACAAGATTCAAGATAGAATTATCTCTATGGTAATTGCTTGTCACAAAGAAGGAACAGTTGAGAGCAGGAAATCCTGCAAGGAGAGGAAAACTTTGTTAAATTTAAAATGCCAATTACAGGCACCTGCCACCAGGTCTGGCTAATTTTTTTATTTTTATTTTATTTATTTTATTTTTTTATTGAGACGGAGTCTTGCTCTGTTGCCCAGGCTGGAGTGCAGTGGCGTGAGGCAATAAACAGCAAATTGGAGACTCTAGGAATTTAATCAGTAAAAATACCAGCTTGAGAAATTTTCCCAGGAGTCAATCTAAAATGAGAGAATGGATAAGAGTTGTGAGCACTTGTCTAGAAGATGTGATGCATACAAAACAAAAATTCAAGAAAGAAAGCAGAAACAGTAGTCAAATAAATGGACATCAACTTGTCTGAGTTGAAGGAACACATCAGAGTCTTTCCTGTACATTAGATAAAACCCATGATAAGAAAATAATCATCTAGAGCCATACTGGTAAAGTTTTGCATATAAAAAATATGCAGGATGAAAAGAGCAGATTAAATATCAATAAACCAAATCCATCATTTTCTAAATCAATAGCATAGAAAGGCAATTGAATCAAGTCTGCAGAGTTTTGATGGGAAAGACTGCAGAGTCCTTCCTGTATGCAGAGCCACATGACTGTCCTGTGCCCTGGACACTTTTGCCTTGGTGGGCCTCTTCCTTTACAAAAAGACATTACAAGTTATCTTTGTAAAGACAGCTGGGTGCAGAGGCTCATACCTGTAATCCTGGCACATCGGGAGGATGATGTGGGAGGATTGCTTGAGTCCCGGAGCTTGAGACTAGCCTGGGCAACACAGTGAAATCCCAACTCCACGCACATACAAAAATAAAATTAGCTGGGCATGGTGGTGCACCTGTAGTACCAGCTACTCTGGAGACTGAGGCAGGAGGATCGCTTGAGCCTGGGAAGTCAAGGTTGCAGTGAGCTGTGATTGAGCTACTGCACTCTAGCCTGGGTGACGGAGCAAGACCCCACCTTTAAAAAAAAAAAAATGACTAGTAGAATCCAGGCTGGATCACATTCATTTTTTCTCCCAATTTTTAAAGAAAATATTTTTTAGGAGTTCCTGAAATTATCTTAGGCTCTTGGCACTGTGTCCACTGAGCGTAATGGAGAAATTGGCCCTGCCTGTAAAAGAAACTTCCAGACCCACCCCAGGGGCTCCAAAATGTCAAACGCTATTTATAAACTCTTCTCGAAAAACTTGAATCTTTTCGAGTGGTTCTGGACATATAATCATATCATGAATTAGGAAGTTGTGGTTTCATAGAATTGGCCATGGACCATACAAGACATAGAAGTCTAAACAATTTTTATTAATATGATTATGAAAATTATTCCCTAAAGAGTAGATAAATAATGCTAAATATATTAAATAATATACATTTAAATATTTATTTATATACATTTAAAATCCTAAGTCATTAAAACCTTGAAAATTATGAAAGCAAGGAAGAAAAAAAAAGGCAAGCTAACTATTTCTGCTCACAGGTAGGGCTTATAGATTTTTTTTTTTTTTGGAGAGAAAAGGGATTTTATTTTATTTATTTTATTTTTTTAAATTCAATTACCTTTATTTCTTTTAGGATTTAACCTTATGTGAATCATATTAAGACAATGATACATTTGCATTTGAGGTGTTTATGATTCAACTAAGTTTCCCTCTGCTTTTTCTTTTTTTATATATATATTTTTTATTATACTTTAACTTCTAGGATCCATGTGCACAACGTGCAGGTTTGTTACATACGTATACATGTGCCATGTTGGTGTGCTGCACCCATTAACTTGTCGTTTACATTCGGTATATCTCCTAATGCTATCCCTCCCCCCTCTCCCTTCCCCCACCCCACAACAGGCCCCAGAGTGTGATGTTCCCCTTCCTGTGTCCAAGTGTTCTCATTGTTCAATTCCCACCTATGAGTGAGAACATGGCGGCGTTTGGTTTTTTGTCCTTGCGATAGTTTGCTGAGAATGATAGTTTCCAGCTTCATCCATATCCCTACAAAGGACATGAACTCATCATTTTTTATGGCTGCATAGTATTCCATGGTGTATACGTGCCACATTTTCTTAGTCCAGTTTATCATTGTTGGACATTTGGGTTGGTTCCAAGTCTTTGCTATTGTGAATAGTGCCACAATAAACATATGTGTGCATGTATCTTTATAGCAGCATGATTTATATTCCCTTGGGTATATACCCAGTAATGGGATTGCGGGGTCAAATGGTATTTCTAGTTCTAGATCCCTGAGGAATCACCATACTGTCTTCTACAATGGTTGAACTAGTTTACAGTCCCACCAACAGTGTAAGAGTATTCCTGTTTCTCCACATCCTCTCCAGCACCTGTTGTTTCCTGACTTTTTAATGATTCCCATTCTAACTGGTGTGAGATGGTATCTCATTGTGGTTTTGATTTGCATTTCTCTGATGGCCCGTGATGATGAGCATTTTTTCATGTGTCTGTTGGCTGCATAAATGTCTTCTTTTGAGAAGTGTCTGTTCATATCCTTCGCCCACTTTTTGATGGGGTTGTTTGTTTTTTTCTTGTAAATTTGCTTGAGTTCTTTGTAGATTCTGGATATTAGCCCTTTGTCAGCTGAGTAGATTGCAAAAATTTTCTCCCATTCTGTAGGTTGCCTGTTCACTCTGATGGTAGTTTCTTTTGCTGTGCAGAAGCTCTTTAGTTTAATTAGATCACATTTGTCAATTTTGGCTTTTGTTGCCATTGCTTTTGGTGTTTTAGTCATGAAGTCCTTGCCCATGCCTATGTCCTGAATGGTATTGCCTAGGTTTTCTTCTAGGGTTTTTATGGTTTTAGGTCTAACATTTAAGTCTTTAATCCATCTTGAATTGATTTTTGTATAGTGTGTAAGGAAGGGATCCAGTTTCAGCTTTCTCCATATGGCTAGCCAGTTTTCCCAGCACCATTTATTAAATAGGAAATCCTTTCCCGATTTCTTGTTTTTGTCAGTTTTGTCAAAGATCAGATGGTTGTAGGTGTGTGGTATTATTTCCGAGGGCTCTATTCTGTTCCGTTGGTCTACATCTCTGTTTTGGTACCAGTACCATGCTGTTTTGGTTACTGTAGCCTTGTAGTATAGTTTTAAGTCAGGAAGCGTGATGCCTCCAGCTTTGTTCTTTTGGCTTAGGATTGACTTGGCAATGCAGACTCTTTTTTGGTTCCATATGAACTTTAAAGTAGTTTTTTCCAATTCTGTGAAGAAAGTCATTGGTAGCTTGATGGGGATGGCATTGAATCTATAAATTACTTTGGGCAGTATGGCCATTTTCACGACATTGATTCTTCCTATCCATGAGCATGGAATGTTCTTCCACTTGTTTGTGTGTTGTTTTATTTCGTTGAGCAGTGGTTTGTAGTTCTCCTTGAAGAGGTCCTTCACATCTCTTGTAAGTTGGATTCCCAGGTATTTTATTCTCTTTGTAGCAATTGTGAATGGGTGTTCACTCATGATTTGGTTCTCTGTCTGTTATTGGTGAATAAGAATGCTTGTGATTTTTGTACATTGATTTTGTATCCTGAGACTTTGCTGAAGTTGCCTATCAGCTTAAGGAGATTTTGGACTGAGACGATGGGGTTTTGTAGATATACAATCATGCCATCTGCAAAGAGGGACAATTTGACTTCCTCTTTTCCTAATTGAATACCCTTTATTTCTTTCTCCTGCCTGTTTGCCTTGGCCAGAACTTCCAACACTCTGTTGAATAGGAGTGGTGAGAGAGGGCATCCCTGTCTTGTGCCGTTTTTCAAAGGGAATGCTTCCAGTTTTTGTCCATTCAGTATGATATTGGCTGTGGGTTTGTCATAAATAGCACTTATTGAGATACGTCCCATCAATACCTTATTGAGAGTTTTTAGCATGAAGTGCTGTTGAATTTTTTCGAAGGCCTTTTCTGCATCTATTGATATATGGTTTTTGTCTTTGTTTCTGTTTATATGCTGGATTATGTTTATTGATTTGCGTGTGTTGAACCAGCCTTGCATCCCAGGGATGAAGCCCACTTGATCATGGTGGATAAGCTTTTTGATGTGCTGAAGGATTCGGTTTGCCAGTATTTCATTGGTGATTTTTGCATCAATGTTCATCAGGGATCTCGGTCTAAAATTCTCTTTTTTTGTTGTGTCTCTGCCAGGCTTTGGTATCAGGATGATGCTGGCCTCAGAAAATGAATTAGGGAGGATTCCCTCTTTTTCTATAGATTAGAATAGTTTCAGAAGGAATGGTACCAACTCCTCCTTGTACCTCTGGTAGAATTTGGCTTTGAATCCGTCTGGTCCTGGACTTTTTTTGGTTGGTAAGCTATTATTGCCTCAATTTCAGAGCCTATTATTGGTCTATTAAGAGATTCATCTTCTTCCTGGTTTATTCTTGGAAGGGTGTATGTGTCGAGGAATTTATCCATTTCTTCTAGATTTTCTAGTTTATTTGTGTAGAGGTGTTTATAGTATTCTCTGATGGTAGTTTGTATTTCTGTGGGATCAGTGGTGATATCCCATTTATCAGTTTTTATGGTGCCTATTTGATTCTTCTCTCTTTTCTTCTTTATTAGTCTTGCTAGTGGTCTATCAATTTTGTTGATCTTTTCAAAAAACCAGCTCCTGGATTCATTGATTTTTTGGAGGGTTTTTTGTGTCTCTATTTCCTTCAGTTCTGCTCTGATCTCAGTTATTTCTTGCCTTCTGCTAGCTTCTGAATGTGTTTGCTCTTGCTTCTCTAGTTCTTTTAATTGTGATGTCAGGGTGTCAATTTTAGATCTTTCCTGCTTTGTCTTGTGGGCATTTAGTGCTACAAATTTCCCGCTACACACTGCTTTAAATGTGTCCCAGAGATTCTGGTATGTTGTGTCTTTGTTCTCGTTGGTTTCAAAGAACATCTTTATTTCTGCCTTCATTTCGTTATGTACCCAGTAGTCATTCAGGAGCAGCTTGTTCAGTTTCCATGTAGTTGAGCAGTTTTGAGTGAGTTTCTTAATCCTGAGTTCTAGTTTGATTGCACTTTGGTCTGAGAGACAGTTTGTTATAATTTCTGTTCTTTTACATTTGCTGAGGAGTGCTTTACTTCCAACTATGTGGTCAATTTTGGAATAGGTGTGGTGTGGTGCTGAGAAGAATGTATATTCTGTTGATGTGGGGTGGAGAGTTCTGTAGATGTCTATCAGGTCCACTTGGTGCAGAGCTGAATTCAATTCCTGGATATCCTTGTTAACTTTCTGTCTCGTTGATCTGTCTAATGTTGACAGTGGGGTGTTAAAGTCTCCCATTATTATTGTGTGGGAGTCTAAGTCTCTTTGTAGGTCACTAAGGACTTGCTTTATGAATCTGGGTGCTCCTGTATTGGGTGCATATATATTTAGGATAGTTAGCTCTTCTTGTTGAATTGATCCCTTTACCATTATGTAATGGCCTTCTTTGTCTCTTTTGATCTTTGTTAGTTTAAAGTCTGTTTTATCAGAGACTAGGATTGCAACCCCTGCCTTTTTTTGTTTTCCATTTGCTTGGTAGATCTTCCTCCATCCCTTTATTTTGAGCCTATGTGTGTCTCTGCATGTGAGATGGGTTTCCTGAATACAGCACACTGATGGGTCTTGACTCTTTATCCAATTTGCCAGTCTGTGTCTTTTAATTGGAGCATTTAGCCCATTTACATTTAAGGTTAATATTGTTATGTGTGAATTTGATCCTGTCATTATGATGTTAGCTGGTTATTTTGCTCGTTAGTTGATGCAGTTTCTTCCTAGTCTCGATGGTCTTTACAATTTGGCATGTTTTTGCAGTGGCTGGTACCGTTTGTTCCTTTCCATGTTTAGTGCTTCCTTCAGGAGCTCTTTAGGGCAGGCCTGCTGGTGACAAAATCTCTCAGCATTTGCTTGTCTGTAAAGTATTTTATTTCTCCTTCACTTCTGAAGCTTGGTCTGGCTAGATAGGAAATTCTGGGTTGAAAATTCTTTTAAGAATGTTGACTATTGGCCCCCACTCTCTTCTGGCTTGTAGAGAGTTTCTGCCAAGAAATCCGCTGTTAGTCTGATGGGCTTCCCTTTGTGGGTAACCCGACCTTTCTCTCTGGCTGCCCTTAACATTTTTTCCTTCATTTCAACTTTGGTGAATCTGACAATTATGTGTCTTGGAATTGTTCTTCTTGAGGAGTATCTTTGTGGTGTTCTCTGTATTTCCTGAATTTGAATGTTGGCTTGCCTTGCTGGGTTGGGGAAGTTCTCCTGGATAATATCCTGCAGAGTGTTTTCCAACTTGGTTCCATTCTCCCCGTCACTTTCAGGTACACCAATCAGACGTAGAGTTGGTCTTTTCACATAGTCCCATATTTCTTGGAGGCTTTGTTCGTTTCTTTTAATTCTTTTTTCTCTAAACTTCACTTCTGGCTTCATTTCGTTCATTTGATCTTCCATCACTGATACCCTTTCTTCCAGTTGATGAAATCGGCTACTGAAGCTTGTGCATTTGTCACGTAGTTCTCGTGCCATGGTTTTCAGCTCCATCAGGTCCTTTAAGGACTTCTCTGCATTGGTTATTCTAGTTAGCCATTCGTCTAATCTTTTTTCAAGGTTTTTAACTTCTTTGCCATGGGTTCGAACTTCCTCCTTTAGCTCGGAGAAGTTTGATCGTCTGTAGCCTTCTTCTCTCAACTCATCAAAGTCATTCTCCATCCAGCTTTGTTTCGTTGCTGGTGAGGAGCTGCATTCCTTTGGAGGAGGAGAGGCGCTCTGATTTTTAGAATTTTCAGTTTTTCTGGTCTGTTTTTTCCCCATCTTTGTGGTTTTATCTACCTTTGGTCTTTGATGATGGTGACGTACAGATGGGGTTTTGGTGTGGATGTCCTTTCTGTTTGTTAGTTTTCCTTTTAACAGTCAGGACCCTCAGCTGCAGGGCTGTTGGAGTTCGCTGGAGGTCCACTCCAGACCCTGTTTGCCTGGGTATCAGCAGCGGAGGCTGCAGAACAGTGGATTTTTCTGAACCGCGAATGCTGCTGTCTGATCGTTCCTCTGGAGGTTTCCTCTCAGAGGAGTACCTGGCCGTGTGAGGTGTCAGTCTGCCCCTACTCGGGGGTGCCTCCCAGTTAGGCTACTCAGGGGTCAGGGACCCACTTGAGGAAGCAGTCTGTCCTTTCTCAGATCTCAAGCTGCATGCTGGGAGAACCACTACTCTCTTCAAAGCTGTCAGACAGGGATATTTAAGTCTGCAGAGGTTTCTGCTGCCTTTTGTTTGGCTATGCCCTGCCCCCAGAGGTGGAGTCTACAGAGGCAGGCAGGCCTCCTTGAGCTGCAGTGGGCTCCACCCAGTTCGAGCTTCCGGTCACTTTGTTTACCTACTCAAGCCTCAGCAATGGTGGGCGCCCCTCCCCCAGCCTCGCTGCTGCCTTGCAGTTCGATCTCAGACTGCTGTGCTACCAGTGAGTGAGGCTCCGTGGGCGTGGGACCCTCCCAGCCATGCACAGGATATAATCTCCTGGTGTGCCATTTGCTAAGACCATTGGAAAAGCACAGTATTAGGGTGGGAGTGCCCCGATTTTCCAGGTGCCATCTGTCACAGCTTTGCTTGGCTATGAAAGGGAATTCGCTGACCCCTTATGCTTCCCGGGTGAGGCGATGCCTCACCCTGCTTCTGCTCATGCTCGGTGTGCTGCACCCACTGTCCTGCACCCACTGTCCAACAAGCCTCAGTGAGATGAACCCGATACCTCAGTTGGAAATGCAGAAATCACCCTTCTTCTGCGTTGCTCATGCTGGGAGCTGTAGACTGGAGCTGTTCCTATTTGGCCATCTTGGAACCGCCACTGTAGATGTTATTTAATTTTTGACATTGACCATCAGAGAAAAAGGAGTTCAGCTATATATGTGTGTGTGTGTGTGTATGTGTGTGTGTGTGTGTGATGTGTATATATGTATACTTTTTTCTTTTATTTTTTGAGACAAAGTCTTGCTTTGTCATATAGGTTGGAATGTAGTGACCTGATCACAGTGCACTATAACCTCGAAGTTCTGGACTCAAGTGATCCTCCTGGCTTAGCCTCTCTGGTAGCTAGGACTATGAGTGTTCACCACCGTTAATTAGCCCAACTAATTTAAAAAAAATTGTAGAGACAGGGGTCTCGCTATGTCACATGGGCTGGTCTTGAACTCCTGGCCTCAAACAATCCTCCTGTCTCAGCTTTCCCAATGTACTAGATTATGGGCATAAACCACTGCATCTGGCTTCAAATGTATTGTTTAAATTGAAATAACTTGTAGAACAGAAACAGGAATAGCTTTAAATCAATGGATAAAGGAAAACATACCATTTAGCATAGAACAAAAAGTAGAAAAGGGCAAGAAAGTGTGAGAAAACAAAGCATGAGGCAGAAGGACAGTAGTATAGTCACATTTTGTGATGATAAATTTGTCATAGAACAAAATCTAGTGAAGCTATATGCTACTTTAGAGACATCTACAAATTACATGTTTAAGTTAAAAGTGAAAGACAAAAATGGACTTGAAAAAATACAACGAAGGAAGATGGTATTTTAAAAATGAGACAAAATAAAAATCTCAGAAAAAACCATAAATGGAACAAAGAGCTAAAGCGCACAAGCCACAATAAATATTTAGAAATTGTTTACTCTTGTATGATGAATAACAGCATAAAAGCACAAGCTGATAACTACAAATATGAGGAAAAGGCAAAAATTTAGTAGCAAGAAGAGAACTAAATACATTATTCATCTCTAACAAATAAGAAAAATCAATATATAAAATATTTGAATAAATGACTTAATAAGTTTGATTTAATAGATATAATTTAAATTTTGTGTCCTACAGGATATTAACATATGTTTGTAAACTACCGTTCACATTTTAAGAAAGCTGACATTTGAGGCAGTAAATGAAATTTTAGTAGGTTAAGAATGGACACTTTTTGGTGATTCCATTGAAAAAATATTAAAGATTAAAAAAAGGTTGACTGGCCGCGATGGCTCACACCTGTAGTTCCAGCACTTTGGGAGGCTGAGGTGGGTGGATCACCTGAAGTCAAAAGTTCAAGACCAGCCTGGCTAAGATGGAGAAACCCTGTCTCTATTAAAATTACAAAAATTAGATGGGCGTGGTGGCTGGCACCTGTAACCCCAGCTGCTTGGGAGGCTGAGGCAGGAGAGTCACTTGAACCCGGGAGGCGGAGGTTGTAGTAAGCCGAGACCATGCCACTGCACTCCAGCCTGGGCACCAAGAGTGAAACTCCGTCTCAAAAACAAAAACAAAAACAAACAAACAAAAGGTTTACAAAGTAATGTTATGGAGAATGGTGGAGTAGGGAGTGCTAAGTATCCCTCCCTTCACTGAAGCTCGATTAAGCTGCCCAAAACTGTCAGAATAAACTCTTTCAAAACTCTAGAATCTAAAAAGAAACTTATAACAATCAGGGAAGTACTTAATGAAGAGAGAAGCTGCTAAATTTTGATGACAGCATTTTGGATTTTTTTGCTTATTTGCTTATAATTCTCCATTATTCAGCTAAGCAGTGGTCACAGGACTGACACCAGCTAACGTTCTTGGTGTCGCTTGATGCCATCCCAGGGGGCCGTATGGACCTTGTTCTCAAAGAATTGTGGCTGGAGTTTTGATCTGTCTGGTGCCAACCGAGGGATGAATTCTATGTCTTGTCTTTGTTTCAGCCCTTTGGAACACTGTCAGGACTGGAATGGCCTCCTGGATTGTGGCTGTCAAAAGCATTTAATAGCATATACAGGCACCTGCCAACATACCCAGCTAATTTTTGTGTTTTTAGTAGAGAGGGGGTTTTACCATGTTGGTTGGCCAGGCTGGTCTTGAACTCTTTTTTTTTTTGAGACGGAGTCTCGCTCTGTTGCCCGGGCTGGAGTGCAGTGGTGCGATCTGGGCTCACTGCAAGCTCCACCTCCCGGATTCACGCCATTTCCCTGCCTCAGCCTCCCGAGTAGCTGGGACTACAGGCACCTGCCACCATGTCCGGCTAATTTTTTGTATTTTTAGTAGAGATGGGGTTTCACCGTGTTAGCCAGGATGGTCTCGATTTCCTGACCTTGTGATCCGCCCGCTTCAGCCTCCCAAAGTGCTGGGATTACAGGCGTGAACCACTGCGCCCAGCCGGTCTTGAACTCTTGATCTCAGGTGATCCACCCCCATCGGCCTCCCAATGTGCTAGGATTACAGGTGTGAACCACCATGCCTCACCCTGGAATATTTTTAAAAACACACTAAGGATTGTATTTTTCAGTACTTTTCAAACTGTTCGGGGGCATGAGCTCCATACACTGCCGATTACCCATTGTGTGTCAGGTTTCCAATCGCCAGGATGTTAATGTTCTCTTCTTAGTTAAGATTTCTTTCAGGGAGGCCGAGGTGGGCAGATCACCTGAGGTTGGGAGTTCGAGACCAGCCTGACCAACATGGAGAAACCCAGTGTCTGCTAAAAATACAAAAATTAGCCGGTTGTGGTGGGGGCATGCCTGTAATCCCAGCTACTTGGGAGGCCGAGGCAGGAGAATCGCTTGAACCCGGGAGGCAGAGGTTGCAGTGAGCCGAGATCACGCCATTGCACTCCAGCCTGGGCAATAAGAGTGAAACTCCTCAAAACAAAACAAAACAAAACAAACCATATGTATATATTATATACATATAAAATACACAGAATATTGGTATTTTATAGGAAAAATATATAATATATTGGTATAGGTATAAGACTGTAAAACTGACAGTCCTTCCTCAGGTGGTGAATTAAGAAGCTGAGTATGTCTTTAAGGAAGCAGCTCTCTCCTGGTCAGACTCTTTTCATTATGTTCACTGTCTTTTTAAATTGTTCGTACAGCAAAATACACAATTTGATGGATTTGGTCAAATGTGTTTGACAACCATGTAACCCATCAAGTTATAGAACATTTCCATCAACACAGACCAGGATTTCTCAGCCTCTGCCTTTGTTGTGGGGGGGCTGTCCTGTGTATTGAGGGCTAGTTAACAGCATCCTCGACCTCTGCCCACTAGATGCCAGTAGCATGACAATCAAAATATCTTCAGACATTGCTACATGTTCCCCCAGGGACAAAGTCACCCCTGGTTGAGAATAACCGCCATAGAATGTTTCTTTCTGGCCCATTGCAATCAATCCCCCTTTCTCCCAGAGGTAACTACTCTTCTGACTTACATCTCTATAGATTAGTTTTGCCTGTTCTTGAACTTTTTATAAATACAGGTACACAGTATGGTCTCTTTTGTGTCTGTCATCCTTAGCTCAACGTAATGTCCATGAGAGTCTTATTTGTTGTATCAGTTCCAAGATATCAATAGACCGTGGTTGGTTAGCCATTCTCCCTTTCATGGACGTTTGGGCTGTTTCCAGTGTTTGGCTATTATGAACAAAGTAGCTGTGAACATTCTTGTACAACTCTTTGTGTAAACACATATTTTCATTTCTTCTGGGTAAATATGCAAGGTATATGGCAGGTAAATATTTAACTCTACAAGAAACTGCCAAATTGTTTTCCAAAATGGCTATATCATTTTACGCTCCAACCAGCAGTGCTGAGAGTTCCAGGTGCTCCACAATCTCCCCAACGTTTGGTGTCATCTGTCTTTCATTAGGCATTCTGGTGGGTGTGTGTTATCTCATTGTGCTTCTAATGTGCATTTCCCTAATGACTAGTGATATTGAACACCTTTTAATGTGTTTATTTCAAATATATATATCAGACAAATGACTCGCATCTAGAATATATACAAAACTCTGAAATCAATATTAAAAAAGACAAATAATCCAATGAAAATGGGCAAAACTCTTCACGAAAGAAGCATGAATGTCACATTTTTGTTGTATCTTTTCCACACTCCCACTCATCACTTCTGCACTGGATGCTGCTCTTTGTTGAACAACAGTGCTTACTTAGTGTGTGTCAAACCCATTTCTAAGCACTTGACAATGTTAACTCACTTACCCCTCAATATTAGCCCATTTAATTCTCAAAACAGCCCTATAAGGTATTATTATTCCCACTTTAGAGAAGAGGAAACTGAGACAGTGAGTCTAAGTGATTTGCTAAAACTCACAGCTGGTTGGATGAAGGATCCAGGATTCCGGCCCAGGCAGCCTGGCTCCAAGCTCTTAACCACGATATGCACAGTGTGCGCTTCTCCTTACAAGGCAGATGCTATGAGGTATCTCAATCCCTCTGCTGCACTTTCTCAAAGTGAGTTTTCAAAATTTTATCAGTAACAGGATGTTGGGTTTCAGATACCCGTAATACAGAATCGATATGTTTATGTTGCCATTTCTACTGCTGATTGCTGTTACTCAATTTTCCATCGTTTTGTAGGTGCCTTAGGAGCTGTGACTTTGATGTCTCCTGTAGGTAAAAAGATGTTTTTCAAATCCCTTCCAACTGTGGTCCTTCTTGTGGTACTAGGAAAGGCTTTATAGTTTTCTTTAAGGAAAAAAAGAAAAGGATTAAAAAAAGAAAAGATAAATTTTGGTTTGAGAGCTGCCTGAAAAGATTTGCCTGCTCTAACTCAAAAGCTTTTCCTCCATCGCATTTCTGAATATCACTAGGGACCCCTTACCTTTCTCCTCTCTTCTCTCCCTCCATCAGTAGTGACTGGGGTTAAAAGTTACCTGCTTGCAGCAAGATTCTGGTTCACCTGGTGATATGGCTTGGCTGTGTCCCAATCCAAATCTTTTTTTTTTTTTTTTTAATATACTTTAAGTTCTAGGGTACATGTGCACAACGTGCAGGTTTGTTACATAGGTATACATGTGCCATGTTGGTTCGCTGCACCCGTCAACTTGTCATTTACATTAGGTATTTCTCCTAATGCTATCCCTTCCCCAGTCCCCCACCCACTGACCTGCCCTGGTGTGTGATGTTCCCTGCCCTGTGTCCGTGGTTCTCATTGTTGAGCTCCCACCTGTAAGTGAGAACATGCAGTGTTTGGTTTTCTGTCCTTGTTATAGTTTGCTTAGAATGATGGTTTCCAGCTTCATCCATGTCCCTGCAAAGGACGTGAACTCATCCTTTTTTATGGCTGCACAGTATTCCATGGTGTATATGTTCCACATTTTCTTAATCCAGTCTATCATTGATGGACATTTGGGTTGGTTCCAATTCTTTGCTATTGTGAGTAGTGCCGCAATAAACATACATGTGCATGTGTCTTTATCATAGAATGATTTATAATCCTTTGGGTATATGCCAAGTAATGGGATTGCTGGGTCAAATGTTATTTCTAGTTCTAGATCCTTGAGGAATCGCCACACTGTCTTCCACAATGGTTGAACTAATTTACACTCCCACCAACAGTGTAAAAGTGTTCCTATTTCTCCACATCCTCTCCAGCATCTGTTGTTTCCTGACTTTTTAATGATCATCATTCTCATTCTAACTGGCATGAGATGGCATCTCATTGTGGTTTTGATTTGCATTTCTCTGATGACCAGTGATGATGAGCATTTTTGTATATGTCTGTTGGCTGCATAAAAGTCTTCTTTTGATAAGTGTCTGTTCATATCCTTTGCCCACTTTTTGATGGGGTTGTTTTTTTCTTGTAAATTTGTTTATGTTCTTTCTAGATTGTGGATATTAGCCCTTTGTCAGATGGGTAGATTGCAAAAATTTTCTCCCATTTTGTAGGTTGCCTGTTCACTCTGATGATAGTTTCTTTTGCTGTGCAGAAGCTCTTTAGTTTAATTAGATCCCATTGGTCAATTTTGGCTTTTGTTGCCATTGCTTTTGGAGTTTTAGTCATGAAGTCTTTGCCCATGCCTATGTCCTGAATGGTATTGCCTAGGTTTTCTTCTAGGGTTTTTATGATGTTAGGTCTAAAAGTCTTTAATCCATCTTGAGTTAATTTTTGTATATAGTGTAATGAAGGGATCCAGTTTCAGCTTTCTCCATATGGCTAGCCAGTTTTCCCAGCACCATTCATTAAATAGGGAATCCTTTCCCGATTTCTTGTTTTTGTCAGGTTTGTCAAAGATCAGGCGGTTGTAGATGTGTATTGTTATTTCTGAGGCGTCTGTTCTGTTCCATTGGTCTATATATCTGTTTTGATATCAGTACCATGCTGTTTTTGTTACTGTAGCCTTGTAGTATAGTTTGAAGTCAGGAAGCGTGATGCCTCCAGCTTTGTTCTTTTTGCTTAGGATTGTCTTTGCAATGCGGGCTCTTTTTTGGTTCCATATGAACTTTAAAGTAGTTTTTTCCAGTTCTTTGAAGAAAGTCAGTGGTAGCTTGAGGGGATAGCTTTGAATCTGTAAATTACTTTGGGCAGTATGGCCATTTTCACGACATTGATTCTTCCTATCCATGAGCATGGAATGTTCTTCCACTTGTTTGTGTGTTCTTTTATTTCGTTGAGCAGTGGTTTGTAGTTCTCCTTGAAGAGGTCCTTCACATCCCTTGTAAGTTGGATTCCTAGGTATTTTATTCTCTTTGTAGTAATTGTGAATGGGAGTTCAGTCATGATTTGGCTGTCTGTCTGTTATTGGTGTATAGGAATCCTTGTGATTTTTGCACATTGATTTTGTATCCTGAGACTTTGCTGAAGTTGCCTATCAGCTTATGGAGATTTTGGACTGAGACGATGGGGTTTTGTAGATATACAATCATGTCATCTGCAAACAGGGACAATTTGACTTCCTCTTTTCCTAATTGAATACCCTTTGTTTCTTTCTCTTGCCTGATTGCCCTGGCCAGAACTTCCAACACTCTGTTGAATAGGATTGGTGAGAGAGGGCATCCTTGTCTTGTGCCAGTTTTCAAAGGGAATGCTTCCAGTTTTTGCCCATTCAGTATGATATTGGCTGTTTCCCATTCAAATCTTAGCTTGCATTGTATCTTCCAGAATCCCCACTTGTTGTGGGAGATAATTGAATCATGGTAGCTGATCTTTCCCAGACTACTTTTGTGATAGTTAATAAGTCTCATGAGATCTGATGGGTTTATCAGGGGTTTCTCCTTTTGCTTCTTCCTCATTTTCTCTTGCTGCTGCCATGTAAGAGGTGCCTTTTGCCTCCTGCCATGATTCTGAGACCTCCCCAGCCATGTGGAACTGTAAGTCCTATTAAACCTGTTTTTCCTCCAAGTCTTGGGTATGTCTTTATCAGCAGTGTGAAAATGAACTAATACAGTAAATTGGTAGCAGTAGAATGGGGTATTGCTGAAAAGATACCCGAAAATGTGGAAGCGACTATGGAACTGGGTAACAGGCAGAAGTTGGAACAGTTTGGAAGGCTCACAAGAAGACGGAACATATGGGAAAGTTTGGAACCCCCTAGAAACTTGTTGAATGGCTTTGCCCAAAATGCTGATAGAAATATGGACAATAAGGTCCATGCTGAGGTGGTCTCAGATGGAGATGAGGAACTTGTTGGAAACTGGAGTAAAGGTGACTCTTGTTATGTTTTAGCAAAGAGACTGGCAGCATTTTGCCCCTGCCCTAGAAATATGTGGAACTTTGAACTTGAGAAAGATGATTTAGGGTATTTGGCAGAAGAAATTTCTAAGCAGTGAAGCATTTAAGAGGTGACTTGGGTTCTGTTAAGGGCATTCAGTTTTATAAGGGAAGCAGAGCGTAAAAGTTTGGAAAACTTTCAGCCTGACTATGTGATAGAAAAGAAAAACCCATTTTCTGGGGAGAAATTTAAGCCAGCTGCAGAAATTTGCATAAGTAGCAAGGAGCCTAAGGTTAATCCCCAAGACCATGGGGAAAATGTCTTCAGGCCATGTCAGAGACCTTCATGGCGGCCCCTCCCATCACAGACCCAGGAGGAAAAAGTGGTTTCATGGGCCGGGCCCAGGGTCCCCGTGCTGTGTGCCGCCTAGGGACTTGGTGCCCTGTGTCCCAACCACTCCAGCCATGACTGAAAGGGGCCAACGTACAGCTTGGGCTGTGGCTTCAGAGTGGAAGCCCCAAGCCTTGGCAGCTTCCATGAGGTGTTGAGCCTGCCAGTGCACAGAAGTCAAGAATTGAGGTTTGGGAACCTTTGCCTAGATTTCAGAAGAGGTATGGAAACACCTGGATGCCCAGGCAAAAGTTTGCTGCAGGGGTGGGGCCCTCATGGAGAACATCTGCTAGGGCAGTGTGGAAGGGAAATGTGGGGTAAGAGTCCCCAGACAGAGTCCCTACTGGGACACCACCTAGTGGAGCTATGGGAAGAGGGCCACTGTCCTCCAGACCCCAGAATGGTAGATCCACTGACAATTTGCACCGTGCACCTGGAATAGCCACAAACATTAAACACCAGCACCTGTAATAGCCGCAGACACAAAACGCCAGCCTGTGAAAGCAGCTGGGAGGAAGGCTGTACCCTGCAAAGCCACGGGGCGGAGCTGCCCAAGACCACGGGAACCCACCTCTTGCATCAGCATGACCTGGATGGGAGACCTGGAATCATTTTGAAGCCTTAAAATTTGACTGCCCTGCTGGATTTCAGACTTGCATGGGCCCTGTAACCCCTTTGTTTTGGCCAATTTCTCCCATTTGGAATGGCTGTATTTACCCAATACCTGCACCCCCATTATATCTAGGAAGTAACTAGCTTGCTTTTGATTTTACAGGCTCATAGGCAGAAGGTACTTGCCTTGGTCTCAGATGAGACTTTCGACTGTGGACTTTTGGGTTAATGGTGAAATAAGTTAAGACTTTGGGGGACTATTGGGAAGGCATGACTGATTTTGAAATGTGAGGACTTGAGCTTTGGAGGGGCTAGGGGCGGAATGATATGGTTTGGCTGTGTCCGCATCTGAGTCTCAACTTGAATTGTATCTCCCAGAATTCTCATGTGTTGTGGGAGGGACCCAAGGGAAGGTAATTGAATCATGGGGGCTGATCTTTCCTGTGCTATTCTCATGATAGTTAATAAGTCTCACAAGATCTGATGGGTTTATCAGGGGTTTTTGCTTTTGCTTCTTCCTCATTTTCACTTGCTTCTGCCATGTAACAAGTGCCTTTTGCCTCCCGCCATGATTCAGAGACTTCCCCAGCCATGTGCAACTATAAGTCCAATTAAACCTATTTTTCTTCCCAGTCTTGGGTATGTCGTTATCAGCAGTGTGAAAATGGACTAATACACCTGGGTTTACAGCCTTTCTGTTCCATACCCACTGGATGGGTTATTTATGTGCCATTTTATTTGGAACTACTGTTACTTTCCTAATAATATAACAAGATTTTGTGTGTAAGACTCTTCTCACTATTATCTTACTCGTTTGAATTTGTTTCATTTTAATAAGGTAATATTTAAATTGCACTTAGGAACTAGTAATATATATGTTTAAACATACTTTAATGTTGTGTATAATCACAAACTAATATTCATTTAAGTGCAGGGGACTGTATTCATCCAGTTAATCCAATAAACATTTATTGAATACTTGCTATGTGCCAGGGACCATGGGGAGATACAAGTGAGGTATAGTTTTGTTCCTATCACGCAGATGCTTGAAACATCTAGTCAGATACATGTTAATTACCATTGAGTTTCAAAAGTTCTCTACCTCCAAGGGAGGCAACAGTAGCCTTCACGACCTCACAGTGGTCTTGGCGTGAGCAGCCCTCCATGGCACAGATCTTGAGCTGGTCTACTCCGTGCCAGCAGAGGAACTAGACTTTGAGAAACGAGTTGGATTTAGAACAGTGACAAATGAGCAGGTGTGAGGTGGCACTCCAGGTACATAGAAGAGCATAGTTAAAGGCATGTGGTGAGTTGTCCAGTTCATTTCCCTACAGGCCAAGAGCTAGTGAGATGCAAATCTGGGGCTGAGGGTGTGGAGGCCTCTTTTGCCATGAATGTTGGGCAAAAGAATGTTCTGTGGCAAATACAGACTGTTCCCACCATCTCTAAATGGTAGGATGTGAGAAGTAGAGCTAGAACTGGCACATCTCCTCCATAACCGTTTTTCAAAGCCACATGGAAATATTACAAAGGCTTGACAATTCACAGGGCAACTAAAATACCAACTACAATACTTACGACAGATGTCCTCTCTAAGTAGCACATTTTCAAGTGATAAACAATAGAGATGTCTCTCGGTCTCCCTCTTCTGTCACAGTCTTTGGACAGTTTTTTTGACTTTTCTTTGAATATTGTGGAGGAAGTGTTGGTATCTGAGACTTTTCAAAAAACAAATATTGTCATGCAGGTGGATATAGTCCAGGAGTTGATTTTATGTTCAGGAGGGCTTCCAAAAGTGCCTGGATTTTCCAAAAGCCTATTTTAAAGGGCAATTTGATTCAACATGAAGATATTGAAATGTAGTGGCTGGGCGCAGTGGCTCATGCCTATAATCCCAGCACTTTGGGAGGCCGAGGTGGGCAGATCACTTGAGGTCAGGAGTTTGAGAGCAGCCTGGCCAACATGGTGAAACTCCATCTCTACTAATAATACAAAAATTAGCCAGGTGTGGTGGTGCACACCTGTAATCCCAGCTGCTCTGGAGGCTGTGGCGGGAGAATTGCTTGAACCTAGGAGGCAGAGTTTGCAGTGAGCTGAGATTACGCCACTGCACTCCAGCCTGGGTGACAGAGTGAGACGCCATCTCCAAAAAAAAAAAAAAGATATTGAAATGTAATAAAAGCAAATGTACCTAGAAGTAACTGGTGACCCAACGTTATGAACAACTGAAATAATTCCCTCTCTGTACTGAAGGGCTGGGGTGCGCAGTGCCGAATGATCTGGGTGTCGGCTTCCCACATGCTATGATTTTTGGCTCACAGAACATTGAGATCAGAAAGGAGCAAGACCCTCAGGATATTCCAACTATCAGGATGCAAAGAGAATGGCTATGGTAGCATGACTGCACTCTTCAACCTCCTCTCTATACTAGCTAGGGAAGTTGCTGGCTTTTAAAATGAAGCTCTTCATTACATAATCTGCACTGCTCCTTCCAAGGACCATTAGAGGGAAGACACAATAGGTGGCACTTTCTTTCTTTCTACCAAGCAGAGGGTTTCTTGTGTAAAATGCTGTGTTCTCTCCATTCTTCAGTAGAACTACGAAGCACACACGTTTCATTGAGTCACAGGAGAAGCACCCACCATCATGAGTAAAGCCCTGTGCGGACACAGTGGGTTAAAAACAGATATGACATGGCCTCTTCCCATGGAGGCCACATCTGGGAGTTGGAGGAGAGACATACACTTATAACCACAGGTAGCATTTACAAAAGCGACATGAACTAGATGCTGTGAGAACAGAAGGCCTGAGATGGTAAAATTTGGCCAAGGGAGCTGAGAAATGCTTCTATGTTGAAATGACACTTGGGATTTGTAGGAGGCCTTGGTTTTGCCAGGTGGATGAGTAGGAACCTTCCAGGTAGAGGGCATACTCAGTCTGTGTGAGGATACAAAGGCATCCTGGGTTTGGACTGTATGATCCCATTTATTTATTTGTTTGTTTGTTTGTTTGTTTGTTTGATGGAGTCTCGGTCTGTTACCCAGGCTGGAGTGCAGTGGTACGATGTTGGCTCACTGAGACCTCCGCCTTCTGGGTTCAAGCAGTTCTCCTGCCTCAGCCTCCCGAGTAGCTGGGACTGTAGGCACCTGCCACCACACCCAGCTATTTTTTTGTATTTTTAGTAGAGATGGGGTTTCACCATGTTAGCCAGGCTGGTCTCGATCTCCTGACCTCAGATGATCTGCCCGCTGGGTTTGGACTACATGAGTGAGAAGGCAGGAAAGCTGAAAGATCAGGTGGGTAAGATTGTCGGGGCCATATTGTCACAGACCTTCACCTCTATGAAGAAGCATTTAGACTTGATCTTGTAGGTCTTGGGGTGACATAGACTATGCTACGCAGGGAAGTATAATGAGAGCAGTGTTTTGGAGAGACACCGGCAACAGGGAGGAGGAGGCCTGGACTCACTCATGCAGGGCTGGCAATAAGAAATCACTTTGGGAAGGTATTTAAGTAGTCATTCAATGGCCATGTTTGTGGTGTGAAAGATAACGGGCTCTGACTCCTGACTCCTTGGGTGTGAATCCCGGCTCTACCTCTTACTATCTGCATATTCCTGTGCAAGTTACTCAGTCTTTCTGTGCCTTGGTTTCTTTGTATATAAAATGAAGATAATAGCAGTTACTAGAGCCGTGCTTCTCGAACTGGAATAGAATATGCACAAACATCAGCTTGTTAAAATGCAGACTCTGCCAGGCATGGTGGCTCACGCCTGTAATCCCAGCACTTTCGGAGGCTGAGGCAGGTGGATCACCTGAGGTGAGGGGTTCGCGACCAGCCTGGCCAACATAGTGAAACCCCATCTCTACTACAAATACAAAAAATTAGCCAGGTGTGGTGGCACACGTCTGTAGTCCCAGCTACTCAGGAGGCTGAGGCAGGAGAATCGCTTGAACCCGGGAGGCGGAGGTTGCAGTGAGCCAAGATAGCACCATTACAATCCAGCCTGGGCAACAAGAGCGAAACTCTGTCTCAAAAAAAAAAAAGGAGACTCTGATTTAGTGAACCCAGGGTGGAACCTGAAATTCTGCAAGCTCCTGGATGGTGGTGATGCTGCTGTCCCATGGGCCATGCTTTCGGTAGCAAGATTTCTAATGACTGTTTCGAAGATTATATGAGTAAATACATGTAAGAAACACGAAGAGCAGCATGTGGCATAGTAAGAGATAGCTAATGTTAGGGTCCAGGAGAAAGTCTAAAAATATATCTCAATTACTGCTTTACAAGAGTTTTATGCACTAGAAAGTTCTCTAAAGACAATTACTTGGTATTTTGTCTCCCTTTCTGGCCAGCTACCTGCAGAGGGTTAGTGTGGCTCAGTTCTGGAGAGGGAATCCAAGCGACCTGTAATAATAGGCAATGCAATTCAGCCGCAGGCAAGGTGGCCACACAGTTTATGAAGGTACTTACCCCTGTGTCTCTTCCAGGTCTCCCATAAAGTTTGGTTAGATGACAGGATCATCAGAACTGTCCTAAGTGGGACATGAGGTTTCCATGTGCAGCGAGCTCCAGGAAGATATGGGCCGACTGTTGAGTACCCTGTAAACTCTAGGGATTTTAGCTGCAGCTTCAGTTGGGGCTGAGATGGGCTACCTGCTGACTTTCTCATAGAGCAGAGAAGACCAAGGGTGAAAAAGCGTATGCTTGAATTTTGCAGAGATATTAGGAAAATTGGGTATATGAGATTGAATGACAAAGAAAAAAACAGGCAAATAAACTTTGTTAAGTACTTAGATTTTATTTTCTCTTTAAAGGCAGGCTTTGGCCAGAAAAAAAGGAAAAAAAAAAAAAAGAAAAAGCCCCAAACTTCTCTCTTTTTCTCTTTTGGCTTTCCCCAATCTCCCACCCTACTTTCAGCAGCTTTGTTTTTGTTTGTTTTTGCTGTGAAAAATAAGCCCTGCTTGGGGAGTGAAGAGTGGGTCTCCAGTGAAGAACTTCAACAGGACTTCTAAAGTATTACCTTAAAGGCCATTGTACATGAGAAGTAAATATGTTTTATTAAGCAGAAATTTTGCAACATGCATATACTTGACTCTTTGTGAAAAGCTGGAAAAACTGAAAAGAAAAGGAAAAATCCTAATAAGTAAAACTTCAAATGGCTCCAGAGAGTCATTCCACAGACATTTCTCTATGGCATTTCTGATACATGTAAGGAAAAGATAAATAGTAATTACTTGGGCTTGAAAGCTTGGCT
Source organism: Homo sapiens (assembly GCF_000001405.40). NCBI lineage: Eukaryota > Metazoa > Chordata > Mammalia > Primates > Hominidae > Homo > Homo sapiens. The sequence goes on from NC_000015.10 coordinate 93,409,977, forward strand.
TTTTCTTTTTTTGAGATGGAGTCTCACTCTGTCGCCCAGGCTGGAGTGCAGTGGCGCGATCTCGACTCACTGCAACCTCTGCCCTCCGAGTTCAAGGGATTCCCTGCCTCAGCCTCCTGAGTTGCTGGGATTACAGGCGCCTGCCACCGCGCCCGGCTAATTTTTTTTTTTTTTTGTATTTTTAGTAGAGACGGGGTTTCACCGTCTTGGCCAGGCTGGTCTTGAACTCCTGATCTGTGATCCACTTGCCTCAGCCTCCCAAAGTGCTGGGATTACAGGCGTGAGCCACCGCGCCCGGCCACACCTTGGCTTATTTTTTAATGTCCGACTGGAAAACCATGGTTGCTTAACTGTGCTACTTGGAACAAGTACCCAAGCCTTAGTTTTAATACCTGCATAATTCAGGATAGTAAATGAAAGATTTGCTGTGAATGTTCCTCAAGTCTCTCTTGTGCCTGGCACAGTGTAGGCACTCCAAAAATGTTTGCTGAATGAATGAATGAATGACTAAATAAATAAATGAAAGCTCACGGGCTACATTTTGCTTAGATAAAACCCCAGTTATCTTTTTTTTTTTTTTTTGAGACGGAGTCTCAATTTCCATCCTTTCCTTCTTGAAACTCGCCTCCCTGTTCTTCCACAATACTTCTGAGATTCTCAATCAGGTCTGTCTATGCAATGGAAGGACTGGTTGATGCAACTGAGTTCTGATTGGTCAGTATAAATGAGCCTTGATGGGTTGATAAAACTGAGCCGTGATTGGCCAGGGCAGGTATCTCTAATTGGTTGGTTCAGGTGAGCTCTGATTGGTTGGTTTCTGAGACAAACATAGGAAGTCTCTGTGAGATGTTTCTTTAAAATGGCCAGTGGGGGTAGGGGTAGCTGGATTTCTTGCTGCAGTTTATCTTGGCAGTGACAGCAGCAACTGGTTTGGCTGCATCGTACAAAAGGAGATCCTGTGATGCTTTTACAATATCTTTCCGATAACACACAGTATGT